>NC_000005.10:97685564-97988594 GCF_000001405.40 Homo sapiens
GTTTAGTACTGGAGAACAGATATTTGCCAAGTGACCACAATATAAGACAAAAGATGGGGAGGGGTGGAGCCAGGATGTCAAACTAGAAGCAGCTTATGGAGGGGAAACAAAAGAGCAAGTGAAGACTGACACTGTAGGCTGATCATCTGGGAAACCATGTCAGAGTCCAACAAGACAGCAGGAAAACACGAAGAGCAGAGAGGAGCGAAGCTGGGTACCTGTGGGTTTAGGCTCAGTGTAGAGCCAGGAGAACCTCTCCAACATAGGAGAGGGTGAGTGAGTGAGAACACCCAGGGGGATTCATGCTCTCCACAGACACCCGTACAAGACTGGGAATGGATAAATCGCCTTGGTCCCCCTGTACTCCACCCCCCACTGCACATCTATGTAGGGGCAGAGAGTCCCCTGGACATTTTGTGGGGGTAACTCTTATGTCTGAGGGGACCTCTACAAGCCTCAAGCCCCAGAACACACCAGCACTGGTGCCATATCCCCAGTCGAGGCTGCAGCTGTAGTGCCTGGGAACAGTAAGATTGCTCTAGCCACCCCTTGCTGGGCAGGGCTCAGGTCCAGCTTACAGCCCAGCTGTCCTGCTTTGGCCTGAACATGGCTGGCCACTCTACCTACCTTCACCACTGGTAGCCAGGTTGCCAACGCTTGCTAGAGCTTTCAGCCCAGCAATCCCACTTTTATGTGAACTCAACTGGTGGATGCAGCTTCCTGATGTCCCTGTAAAAACACAGATGGCAGGGCACATCTCTAGCATTCTTATACACAAACAACATCCAAGCTGAGAGCCAAATTGGAGGTGTAATCCCATTCACAATTGGGACAAAAAGAGTAAAATACCTAGGAGTACAGCTAACCAGGGACGTTAAAAACCTCTACGATGAGAATTACAAAACACTGCTGAAAGAAATCTGAGATGATACAAACAAATGGAACAACATTTCATACTTATGGATAGAAATAATCAATATTGTTAAAATGGCCATACTTACAGATTTGAAGTAATTTACAGATTCAATGCTATTCCTATCAAATACTAATGACATTCTTCAGAATTGGAAAACAAATATTCATATGCAACCAAAAAAAAAGCTTGAATAGCCAAGGCAATCCTAAGCAAAAATAATAAAGCTGGAGGCATTATGTTACCCAACATCAACTATACTATGCGGCTACAGTAACCCAAACAGCATGGTACTGGGTACAGACACATAGACCAGTGGAACAGAATAAAGAGTTCAGCATTAAGGCCACACATCTACAACCATCTGATCTTCAACAAAGCTGATAAAAACAAGCAATCAGGAAAAGACTCCCTATTCAATAAGCGGTGCTGGGATAACTGGCTAGCCATATGCAGAAGATTTAAACTGGACTCTACCATATATCACATACAAAAATTAACTCAAGATGGATTAAACACTTAAAATGTATAACCCGAAACTAGAAAAACTCTGGAAGATAACCTAGTACATACCATTCTGGACATATGACCTGGCAAAGATTTCATGACAAAGATGCCAAAAGCAATTGAAACAAAAAACATTGACAAATGGGATGTAATTAAACTATGGAGCTCCTGCACAGCCAAAGATTATTAATCAAGTAAGTTAACAGGGTAAAGTTTTTTAAAAAACCCATTAACAGGGTAAACAGACAACCTAGAGCATGGGAGAAATTTTTGTAAGGTATGCATCTGAGAAAGGTCTAATATCCAGAATCTATAAGAAACTTAAACAAATTTACAAGAAAAAAATAACCCCATCAAAGAGTGGGCAAAGGACATGAATGGACACTTTTCAAAAGAAGACATACATGCAGCCAGCAAACATAGAAAAAATGCTCAACATCAGTAATCATGAGAGAAATGCAAAGCAAAACCACACTGAGACGTCATCTCACATCAGTCAGAATTGCTATTATTAAAAAGTAAAAACAACAACAACAACAACAACCAAACAGATCCTGGTGAGGTTGCAGGGAAAAGAGAACACGTTTACACTGTTGCTGAGAGTGTAAATTAATTCAGCCATTGTGGAAAATAGTGTGGTGATTCCTCAAAGAGCTAAAAACAGAATTACTATTAGACCCAGCAATCCCATTATTGGTATATACCCAGAGGAATATAAATCATTCTACCATAAAGACACATGCATGCATATGTTCATTGCAACACTATTTCTAATAGAAAAGACATGGAATCAACCTAAATGTCCATCAATGATAGATTGGATAAAGAAAATGTGATACATATTCACCATGGAATACTATCCAGCCAAAAACAAAACAAAACAAAAACCATTAAGATTATGTCCTTTGCAGCAACATGGATGGAGCTGGAGGCCATTATTTTAAGCAAACTAATGCAGGAACATAAAACCAAATACCACATGTCCTCACTTATAACTGGGAGCTGAACAATGAGAACCATGGATACTAGAAGGGGAATAACTGACACTGGGACCTTCTTCAGGGTGGAGCGTGGGAGAGGTAAGGAGATCAGAAAAAAATAGCTATAGGATGCTATGCTTATTTCCTGGGTGACAAAATTATTTGTACACCAAACCCTCGTGACATGAAGTTTACCTGCATAAGAAACCTGCACATGTACCCGTGAACCTAAAATAAAAGTTAAAAAAGTAGAGTATTACCATTTTGCTAACTGCATGATATATTCATTGGATATATCATTGGATTTAGTTTATCAAATCATTGTCTTAAGTTTTGTCATTTAGATTGCATTCAATTTTTCGCTATTAAAAATAAAATGTTAGTAAACATTAAGAAAAAGATAATAAACACCATGGAAAGTTCTAGAAGATTTTGATGTGGGAGATCTTGTTCCTATGATGAAGACAGAAAAATATAGAGTAATGGGGGTTGAGATAGGAAAAAGTTTTTGACCTGGTGATGTATTGACCTGGTTTGGACACCTGAGGATAAGGAGGAGAGGCTACTAGTTCAGCAAACAGAAACAGAACAGCCTAAGGCAGGAGAATTAGGAAATCATAGGTATAACTATTTGGAAGGGTAGGTAAAGGAACCACAGAGACATTCCATTTAACTGAAAATTTGTAGAATAAAGTCAGGCATATACTATCTGTCAAGGCGAATTAGAGACGTACTCTAAACTTATAGGTGGAAACCTGGAATTTGAATTTGGCTCAGATGATAGATGCAGCATAGCAGTCAGTCAGCTAAAGCTACAGCTGCTCATCTCTTCATAGAACCACGTAAGTCAGCACAATTCAGGGTTCTTAACCTCAGCACTATTAACATCTTGTCTTGACTAGTTCTTTAATATAAGGGCCGTCTTCTTCATTGTAAAACATTTAGTGGTATCCCTGGCTTCTGTTCATGAGATAACATTAGTACTTTTCTTGTGTAACAACTAAAAATACCTTCAGACATTGTCAAATAACCCCTAGGAGGCAAAATTGCCCCCAGTTGAGAAATGCTGGCATAGAGGATAGTGTGGCAGAGGTAATTTTTTTTAACAATGATTGAAGTTGTCTCCTTTTTCTCTTTCCCTCTTCTTAAATAATACAATTTCTAGGCTCTCTTACCTCACAGGGAGGTTTGTGGTAATGTAAGAAACTACATGACAATTTTACTTTCTTAATTTTCTCTCCAAAATCAAGTCCATGAGGAGGTTATGCTGTACATTCTTCAGACAGAGAAGCGAAGGGCTTCTGAAGAAAACCTGAACAGAGAGAGAAGGATTTGCTCCACCTAAAAATAATTTTCCAAAGACAGAAAGAAAAGATAGGTGTCCATGGCATTGTGGAGTAGTGGGGGCTTGTGTCTTGCTCCTCAGAAGAAACCTGGTGAGATGGGACTTTTCTGTGGAGAGTGGCTACATTAGTAGCCTGCTTCTTCAAAATAGATGGTCCACTCAAAAAAGGGGGTGGAAGAAAGATTTATGAAGGAATCATTTACATGGTTGAAGGCAAGACTAAAACAAAACAAAAAAAACAAAACAAAAAAATAAAAACAAGAAGGAAGGATGAAGTGCTCCTGGGAGTAAATGGGGAAGCAAGCCTCAAGCTGAAAGTGGAAGAAATGGGTACCAGGGCCTGTCACTGTAGTTGCAAGTCTATGAGAGGATCACCCAACAGGAGCTTTGCCATTGTTAGAGTAATGCATTCTCTCTCAACACAAAACCTCACAGGAGTTTGCCAGGGGAATAAATACTTCAATGTCTATATTTCCCACTATGCTTATATCTTCTATTAATACTTCCCATTGACTGAACCCAACTGGAAACCAGAGGCAACAGAAGTAGAATGATGTAATATGTAGAGGCTGATGTAGCATGTGTTTCCTTAAATTTCCCTATGGCTAATGATATTGAGCATGTTTTCACGTGCCTATTAGCCATTCATATAACTTCTTTGGATAAATGTCTATACAAATGCTTTGCTCCTTCAAAAGTTGGTTTATTTGTTTTTTTATTGTTGAGTTGTAAAAATTTTTTACATATTCTGGATATAAGACATATGGTTTGCAAGTATTTTTTCCATCTGTAGTTTGTTGCTTCACTTTCTTGGTGGTGTTCTATGATGCACATAAATTGTAAATTTTGATAAATTTCAACTTTTCAATCTTCTCTTTTATCACATATGCTTTTTGAGTCTATTCAAGAGCTCTTTGTCATACCTGGGTCATAACAATTTACTCCTGTAAGAAGAGAAATAAGGCCACAGCTAAGAAAAGAATCCTGAATAATCCCCAGTCCTGGGTCAAGAGTAAGAAAAAACTTAAGTAACTAGGGAAAGAGCAGTCAGTGAGATAAAGCAAAGCAAACTTATCTCAAAGTTTTAGAAGCTAAAAAGGTGGAGTATATAAAAAATATAATGATAATGACCTGTGCTAAGTCTTCAGCAGTTCTTACAAGAAAAAGTCTAGAAAATGGTCATTAGGAGATTGTTGGTTTTAGGAAATACATCCACAAGAATGGTGCAAGTAGAATGTATCTTGTAAAGGGGTTGAGAGATGAGTGGCAATGAGAACATGTGGGGAATATGAAGTCTTTTTTTGTTAAGGTTTCACATAAAATTATACTTTGGAAGAACTAGGTATTTGTTTTTGGAAAGAACTGAGGTATGATGACATTTGCTTGCTGAAATCAAATTCTGAAAACAGATTAAATTAATAGCACAATGACAGTCTATGCGCAGGGCTAAAATTGTAAAAGATGGATCTGAGTAATACAAGGATGCCTGTGAAATGTGGTGAAGCTACCCAAACATCAACTCTATTATGCCCATTTAATCCTAAAACTACTCTTTGGCTGGAAGGTCGGAGAAAAAACAAAGACCAAACAAAACCAAAACTCTTCTGCACTGAAATAAAAATAGTAGTTTTCCTTCTTTGTTTTGTTTGTTTGTTTTGAAAGTAGCTTTCCATTGAGATTGGTGTGAGGTAACATTTTGCAGACGCTCATCACCGTGACAGAAATCTGGTCTAAGTTTTGGAATATTGAAACTAATAAATAGATAAGACTGAAATGTGGTCACTCACCCTGGATAAAGCCCTCTTCTTAGGGAAGATAATGTCCCCTTTGTTGCTATTTTTGCCCCTAGCAAGAGTACCAGTTGTCAGGAGCAAGCCAGGTAGCTGCCATATCATCACTTACAGCATGTGTTTCGTACGAATGAAAACTGATGCTGAGATATAGAGGGAAGCACTGCATCGGAGAGATGTTCATCTCAGGAAAAGCTGCTGTTATCAGACTTTAGTGAAATGCCACCCAATGAGGAGAGCGTAGGTTTTTGTAAAAGAGAGATTTAATTCAAACTTTTAAAAAAGGAAAAAAGAAAAATTCTCTAGTTAAATTTTCATCTTAAAAATCAAACAGAATTCTTCCTCTGATTTTAGCATGGATAACATTTAAATACTCAAATAGTACAAGTTCCTTCTGCTGGTAGCTGTTGCTGTGACTATAAAGTCATGCATGAAAACTGGCTGAGGGTCTGGGACCAGGAGATGTGAGCTAAGAGCTAAGTGGCTGCTTTTCTGGGACTCGTGGGCACAGCCATGAGAGAAGATTAGTAGATTTAAAAGCTGGTTAGAACCTTGTTTCATAAACTACTAAACGTCTACTCATGTTAATCAGGTTGTGTTTCTGGGCAGCTGAAAAGTTAAACAGCTTTTTAGTTTCTTGCCAAGCTTTAATGAGACATGGCAATCCCACAGACCGGTTTCAATGTCCTAGGCATGTTCCAGTTGGGTAATCTGTGGACTCACAGAAGGTAGGAAGACCCTATTTGTAAGTTTAAATGGGTTCCACAAAATATTCCCCAAATGATAGGTGGAAGCTAAACATAGTAAAAAGTTATTAGCAGCTGTGACAAATACAAAGAGAAAAAAACTGACTTTTTAAAAAAATACCATGAGTTATCATGTTTCTTTCCTGACCTGAGCAAAGTTGGGCTTTTCAGAACATGACCTTTTGGGGGTTGTGTGGGGATGTGCTTGGTGTGCAATTTATTTCAGAGATTGAGTTTACATTCTCAGTTAAGGCCTTTAATTTCCTGTGTTTTGTTAGAGGGACAGTGGGGACTTGGGGACTCAGAAGCATATCTCTGGCAATGTGTATATCTAAATACCTGTCAGCAGGCCAATTCCAAGTACCTTCAATCACTCCAGTGCTAGGGGACAGGCCTAAGGTTGGAAACCAGAAGTAATATATTTTGCAATCATTTTAAGTATATATTAGGGAAAAGCGGGTCGGTCATGTTGATTTTTAAAGCTATGGAGACTATGCTTTGCTACCTCTTTGGACTGCTTTATCTTGTCAACCATGATGCAGAAAGATGAAAGTTATTAAGCAGTGGCTGAATGACCATAGGCTAGAACTAGGAGGTGATTTCAGAAGTCTTTGAGATGCCCTTGTCTTCTCCTTCATTTAGTCAAGAAATATTTCTTGAGCATCTACTATGTGCCAGGCCCTGTGTTGGAAAGATACAATGCATTGCAAAAAAGGTCTGCCTCCTGGGTGCTGAGATTCTGTGGAGTGATGGGCATAGAAGAGTAAACAGCCCATGACAATCAAGTAAAATGTGTGCCAGAGCAGGAATACATAGGGGAAACCTGTCCTAGCATGTGGGAGATCAAAAAATGTGTTTTTTTTTGAGAAATTTGCATCTCTATTGATTTTTAAAGGACAACTATAACTAGACAGATGTAAGAAAGGAGGACAGTATGCCAGGTGAAATAAACAGAATATGCAGAGAATTTGGAGACAAGAAAGAGTCAGGTGTGTCTAAGAAATGAGAAGTAGTTTGTCTGAGTCACAGCACAGTGGGTGGCTTGGAAAGAGCACATGAAACAAAGAGGTATGAGTCTGTGACAGTGGGCCAGATGGGCTTTGTGCTGCATATTGAAGAATTTGGACTTTGTCTCCCTCTAAGGAGCAAGTAGGGAGCCATTTTAGAGTAGTCAACAGGAAAATGACATAGTAAAATTATTTGATTGCAGCTAGAACAAATTTAGAAGAGGAGAATCTGGACACGGGGAGAACAGTTTGGAGGTGATACAGTAATAAAGGTGAACAATGACAGTATTTTTGGCTAAAACAAGGTACTGTGACTAGGAGAAGTGGATTAATTCCAGAATTAATAAGCAAGCATGTTTCCCACTCATGGAGGGGGGGGGGATCTGTTTATCATTTTCAACTCCAGATTTCTGAAGAACCTGCCCCTACTATAAGCCTTGCTGCCCATGTGACCCCACCTTCCCCAGAGTTCCCAGCCATACCGGTTTCCTAGTTAGGTAAGATTGACAAGACCAGTGAGATTCTTCTCTCTTTTTTTAGGATCATGAAAATTGAGACAACATAAATTTGGGTCATTGAACATTGGGAATTTGACCTAAAAGTTCATATAACTGTTGATTGGTAAGGAGGAAAAAAAAAATGGATCATTAGAGGGAGGAAAATGGAACAGATTCACAGATTATGACAGAGACAAGAGTGAGTGTATCATTTGAGAGGCTGAAACTGTTGTTTGACTGTGTTTCATATTCTGCTCTTTAATTACCAACACAGTGATATCTCGACAACAACCATACTTTTTTGTACTTGAGGTAGTTAGAATAAGCTTTTGCTTGAGTTACCTTTACCATGCTCCTTTCCCACCCCTCAGCATTATTTTGGGATTCCACTACAAAATTTAGGATTCATGTGGTGCTAATTAGTTGCATGATGGATAGGTTTGAGGCCTCTGAGACTTTAGTTACTCTCTTCCCTGTTTACACCTGCCTCGACTTATGTGTTTGAAAGTAAGGAAATAGTACACCCTTTCTATGATTACAGATTCAGTACTGCAAGTTCCTAGACTTGAGTCAATATGTCTGTCAACTCCCTGAAAATCTATATTTCCACTAACAAAAAGGTTATGAGAGTGACTACAACAGTCCCATCCAACCCATTTGAAGCCTTGTGAAAGGACAGGTTGATGTGTTATTATTAAAAACACATCACATTAATACTGATGATATTGTCTTAGAAAATGCTGCTTTGGTTGTAGAACAGACCATGAGAAGTGATTGTTCCATTTGACAGTAAGCTTAAAAGCATGCGGAGTGCTCAGATTTAATGTTCAAACTCCAGTCTTTTCAGAATAAATAGGCTCCTACAATATGAAGACTCCGAAGCTAGTAAATGGAACTGAAAGCATCTTAGACCTTCTTGTTGACACCACATAGTCATAAACCCTTCAGACTCTGCAAAGAGGTCGTAAAGCAAATTGCTCCTTCACAAGTAAACCGATTAAAGAGAGACAGAGCTTAGACATCTTGGAGCCTAATGAGGACATTTCAGGGAAATGATGCCCCTTTTCTAGAACAAATAATAAATTTTTGTTGTGTGTAAGAAACAGAATGGCTCATATGAATAAGCTGAGGGACATGGTAGGCACTATGTCCTATTTTCAGTAACACTGGGCTGAAAATCAGGAGTCTTGGGATTCCTAATCTAACACTAACTGTGTGACCTTGTGCAAGTAAACTAACCACTCTGCTTGCCTTTTCTTGTCTCTAAATTAGAAAGTCTGTTCAACTGATAGACATTTATTGAGTAAATATTATTAGCCAGTTACTTTCACATTTATCTTACTTTATTCTCACAATAATCTCATGAGGAAGCCATTATTATTCACTCATACTAACAAGAAATCTGATGCTCAAGAGTATTTAAGTGACATGCCTGAGGTAATATAGTTGTTACATGGAAGAGCCAAGATTCACCCCAATTTTCCAAGTCTGGTGTTATTCCTGCTGCAGTTAGCTGCCTCCTTTATGGTTCCACTGTATTTATTAATGTATGTAATTCTATTTATTACTGTTTGCTATTTCATAGGAGTTTTTGTCTGCTTTTCTGAGTGTTTATTTTCCCAATTAAATCGCAAGCTCTTCAAAGGCAAAGATCCTCATGTCTATATCTTTGTACCTGCCTCCTTACACTCCACAATACACAATACTGATCTTCATTCACTTATTCATTCATTGATTCATCATTTAATGAATATGAATCAAGTGCCTACCTATTATGTGACAGTCACTGTTCTGAGTGCTTGGAATACACTAGTGAACAAAATAGGTGATGTTCCTCTGTAGATGAATGGATAGAGGAAACGTGATACATATACAAAATGGAGAACTTTTCAGCCATAAGAAAGATTGAGATTCTATCATTTAGAACAGTATGGATGGAACTGGAGGATATTATTTTAAGTGAAATAAGCCAGGCACAGAAAGACAAACTTTGCATGTTCTCTTCATTTGTGGGAACTAAAAATTAAAACTGAACTCATGGAAACAGAGAGTAAAATCATGGTTACCAGATGCTGGGAAGGATAGTGGGTGAGGGCAAGGAAGAGTGAAGTGGGGATGGTTAATGGGTAGAAAAATATAGTCAAATAGAATAAATAAGATCTAGCATTTGATAGGATGACAGGATAATTATAGTCAGCAATAATTTATTGCATATTTAAAAATAACAAAAGGGTATAATTGGATTATTTGTAACACAAAGAAAGGATTAATTCTTGAGGTGATGGATACCCCATACACCCTGATGTGATTATTATGCCTTGTATAGCTGTATCAGAATATCTGATGTGCCCCATAAATATATACACCTACCATGAACCCACAAAAAATAAAAATACAGAAATATACACTCTTGACCGCATTCAGTTATATTCCAGTGAAATATGTGTATAAATAATAAATAGCATAAATAATGAAATATGTTAGGAGGTGCTAAGTGCAATAAAAAATGTAGAGCAGGTTAACAGGGATTGGGAATGTGGCAAAAGTGTCACTTTGTAATTTGAAATAAAGCCATCAGGGCAAGCTTCATTGACAGCTGCATATTTGTTGTCCAAGTTCACTTAGAAATATCCTCTGACAACTTTAAGACTTGGCTTTGCTTCTGTGCAAGGGGGAGATGGCAACAGGCTTTGGCCTTAACCCAAAATTCACTGACACACGTTTATTTCCCAGAAGAGAACTTTAGATCAATGTCTTCCATATTCATCTACACAAACACCAGTGGTATAAAGTGGAAGTGGCCAAGCCATAAACTGAATTTATGTCATGCCCTCTAATACAGACAACTCGGCATCAGGGCACAAGGCTTTAAGGTAATGCTGACCTTAGCTGGAAAAACATGAGTCTATGAGCCTCACGGATATGTAATCAATACTGAGGTAACTGGCTACAAGAGTTTTTACACATCTGTCAGCTAAATCATAACCCTAAAGGGCAAATTTAGGCTGCTCTAAAGACCATTAGCCGGATTTGTTGTGCTGACTCAAGGAGTTTGGGTTAATAAACCAATGCATGCATTACAAGTAGACATCAATATGAAATTTTTTCACTGGTGACAGTCATAATCCTGTTTCAGTCTGGTTTTCTACTTGATATTCATAGAAAAGTGCTGGAATGGCTGGACTGCCATCAGAGATCATTTAGTTTTCATTTTATGCTTTCTTTGTATTTTTGTTCCCACTAGATTATAATGCTTTTTTCTTTGTGTCCATCTTTCCTCTATTTTCTGCTTGTTATTTCTTATCCTTCCTTTCCTTTTAAAAGTTACAATGTGCTTGGTTTTATTGGCTTTCCTTTTTTCTTAGCTTTCTCTGTTATTCATTTCTCTCTCTGTCTCTCTTTTTCTCCCTTCCTTTTTCCTTTCTTAAATATTCATTGTGCATCTACCATATATGGGGCCAGGCATTATGCTGAGTGTTGCATAATAGTGGTAAAAAACCAGAAGGCCCTCCCTTATAGAACTCATTGTCTACTGCAAGAGATGGCATTATACTTGTAAATTTACAAATAAATCTGCCCTAACACTGGTAAATTTTAAAATGAGAAAAAGAGAATGCTGTAAGGGAGAATAACAGGGGACATTCTGTACATTAAGAAGTAGAGTAAGCCTCACTGGCAAAGGGACATCACACTGAGACTTGAAAGAAGGAAAGGAGCTTCTAAGCCAATAGCAGGGAGGAATCGTCTAGAGACAGGGAACTCCATAAAGAAAAACCTTAGGGATCTCAAGAGCTTGGGGCATGAGGGAATTTTCGAAGGCCTTCATGGCTGAATCATAGCATGGAAGGCAACGCTTGACATAGGGATGCTGGAGATTCCAGAAGCTTCCCCCCTATTCTCCCATCACGCCATGTCCTTTTAGCTTGGATGTGAATAAAGTATTTGTCTGAATGTATCTTTTTTTTAGGTTAATATATGGGCAAAATGAGTACAAAACAGAAAATGATGGAAGTGATAAAAAAGTACAAAAAGCTTTTGATAGGAGAACTAAGTTCAAATGGATGGACACTAAGCAACTCGAAGTGGCTACTTGGCTACTGCGGTTTTCTGTGGCACATGAATTAGGTTACTCAGATACATACTATGTGTGTGATTCACAGTTATAAAGGTTACAGTTTTAAATAGGTTTCACATGTATATGTGGTACGTGTTTATATGCACATCTGTGCACGTGTATAGTATATGCAGGAAGATAATATTTAGGGACAATTCAAAATTAATTTTTTATGCATTAAGAAAACTGATTCTTTTATTCCAGTACTGTTTTAAGTGCCTTTTTCATGCTTTTCCTCTGAAAGTTTTCTTCCTCATCTTTTAAAGAACTATGAGAACAATTTACATATATATGTATGTTTACTTATAGATGAGATGAGATAATAGTTATGTTTTAGTGATTCCATTTTGACTGGCTCATTGTAGGTGAGTGATAGAAATACAAAACATGGCAAAACACAATCCTGTGGTTCTGAGAAATAAAAATATCATGTATCATGAACTAGATCATAACAGAATTCTCTATAGGTACTAGCAGCAAAATGGGTGTGAAACCACGGAAATAAATATGCATTATTTCTAGATGAAACATTTTAGTTAGATGGCTTTACACAACTTGTGAAGACTAATTTTGTCTGTAATATGTTTTAGAGCAGAATATTTTAGAAAATAACCTCGCGCTACACTTTTTTTTGAGACTGAATTTAACTTACTACAGGTTGAGTATTCCTAATCTGAAAATCTGAATTTCAAAGTGTTCCAAAATCTGAAACTTTTGAGCACTGACATGATGCCACAACTGGCAAATTCCACACCTGACCTCATGTGACAGGTTGCAGTCAAAACACAGTCAAAACTTTGTTTCAAGCACAAAATTAATTAAAATATTGTATCAAATTACTTTCAGGCTGTCTGTGTAAGGTGCATGTAAAGTATAATTAAATTTTATGTTTAGTCTTGGATTCCATCCCCACGTTATCTCTTTACATATGTGCAAATATTCCAAAATCCATAATAATCTGAAATCCAAAATGCTTCTGGTCCCAAGCGCTTTGGATAAGGAATACTCAACCTATAAAAGCTAAGGAGAAAAGAAATAATTCTCCATTTACTGACTCGAGTTTTATAAAGTATTAAGAAATCAACAAAAATCCTTTGTAATACAGCAAATGTAACATAAAAAATATGATATGAAGTAGTTTGATTTGATATTTGGATAACAATTATGTGCCATACTTTTGTTTGCTAGCAAAGAAGTGCCTATCAAAGGGCTTAGGGAATCAAAGGATGCAGAGTGGGTCTGGGGGTTGCATGTGATTATTATAATAAACCAGTAAGAGATCATGTAGATCAGAACTAAGGTATTGGCACTAGGAATGAAGATAATATTAAGAAAGGAGGGATTAGTAACTGATTAGATGTGGTGGATTAAGGCCATGAAAAAATTGAGAATAATGTACATCATGCACCACATAAAACTGTTTCCATCAATGATGGACCACATATATGATGGTAGTCCTGTAAGATTGTAATACCGAATTTTTACCGTACCTTTTCTATGTTTAGTTATGTTTAGAACACAAATACTTACTATTGTGTTACAATTGCCTACAGTATTCAGTATAGTAACATGTTCTGTAGGTTTGTAGCCTAGAAGCCATAGGATATAGTGTATAGCCTAGGTGTATAGTAGGCTATTCCATCTAGATTTGTGTAAGTATACTCTGTGAAGTTTACACAACAATGAGATCACCTAACAATGGATTTCTCATAGTATATTTATGTCTTTAAATGACGCATGACTGTATATGATTCTATTTTAAATGATTTATTGGGGCTAGAGGGGTGGAGAAAGATGGCAGAATAGAAGGTTCCACCAATAGTCCTCCCTGCAAGGATGCCAATTTAACAACCATCTACAAGAAAACAGGTACTTTTGTAAGAACCAAAACTCAGGTTAGCACCCACAGTACCTGATTTTTAACTTCATGTGCCTGAAAGAGGAACTGAAGAGATAGGAAAAACAGTCTTGAATCTCTGGTGCAACCCTTCTTCCTCCCCCAGCAGCAACTGAATGGTGTGGAGAGCGCTTCTGCTCCCTGGGAAGAGGGAGAGCCAGCGATTGTGAGACGTTAAACTCAGTGCTGCCCTTGTTACAGCAGAAAGCAAAACCTGACCAAACTCAGTTGATGTCTGCCCACAGAGGGTACATTTGAACCAGCCCTAGATAGAGGGGAATTGCTGATTCCAGTGGTTGGAACCTAAGTTCCCACAAGCTTCACCACCATGAGCTAAAGTGTGCTGGTGCTCCAAATAAACTTGAAAGGCAGTCTAGGCCACAAGGACTGCAACACCTAGGTGAGTCCTGGGGCTGATCTGGACCCAGAGACAGTAGACTAGGGGGATATGCAACCTACCGAGACACCAGTTGGTGTGGTTAAGGGAGTGTTGACATCACACTCCGACTAACACAGGGCTGCACAGCCTGTGGCTCCAAAAGAAACCCCTTCCTTCTGTTTGAGAAGAGAAAATGTACAAGTGGGGAGGACTTTGCATCTTGGATACTAGCTTAACCAAAGTAGGATAGGGCAGTGGTCAAAGCTGTGAGGCCCCTTTCCTGGCCCTTGCTCCCAGACGTTTCTAGATACACCCTGGGCCAGAAGGGAACTGCTGCCTTGAAAGGAAGGACCCAGTCCTGGCAAGATTTATCATCTGCTAACTGAAGAGACCTTGGGCCCTGAATAACCAGCAACAATACTCAGGTACTATGTTGAGTGTGTTGGGTGAGGGATTGCAACTTGCTGGCCTCAAGGTGAGACTCAGCATATTCCCAGATGTTATGGATACAGAGAGAGATTCCTTCTGCTTGACAAAAGTGGAGGTAAAAGTAAAAGAGACGTTGTCTTACACTTTAGGTACCACCTCAGCCACAGGGGGATAGAACACAAGTGGGCTCTTGTGATTCCCAAGTTTGGGACTTGGCTCTTGGGCAGCATTTCTGAACCTGCCCTGGGTCAGAGGGGAGCCCACTTGCTTGAAGGGTGAGTCCCGGGCCAGGCAGTATTTACCACAAAGGATTGAAGAGCCTTTGGGCCTTAAGAGAACATCACCTATGAGTGAGAATATGCAGTGTTTGGTTTTCTGTCCTTGTGATAGTTTGCTGAGAATGATGATTTCCAGCTTCATCCATGTTCCTGCAAAGGACATGAACTCATCCTTTTTTATGGCTGCATAGTATTCCATGGTGTATATGTGCCACATTTTCTTTATCCAGTCTATTGTTGATGGACATTTGGGTTGGTTCCAAGTCTTTGCTATTGTGAATAGTGCCACAATAAACATACGCGTGCATGTGTCTTTATAGTAGAATGACTTATAATCATTTGGGTGTATGCCCAGTAATGGGATTGCTGGGTCAAATGGTATTTCTAGTTCTAGATCCTTGAGGAATTGCCATATTGTCTTCCACAATGGTTGAACTAATTTACAGTCCCACTAATAGCGTAAAAGCGTTTTTATTTCACCACATCCTCTTCAGCATCTGTTGTTTCCTGATTTTTTAATGATCGCCATTCTAACTGGCATGAGATGGTATCTCACTGTGGTTTTGATTTGCATTTCTCTAATGACCAGTGATGATGAGCATTTTTTCATATGTCAGTTGGCTGCATAAATGTCTTCTTTTGAGAAGTGTCTGTTTATATCCTTTGCCTACTTTTTGATGAGTTGTTTGTTTTTTTCTTGTAAATTTGTTTAAGATCTTTGTAGATAATGGATATTAGCCCTTTGTCAGATAGATAGATTGCAAAAATTTTCTCCCATTCTGTAGGTTGCCTGTTCACTCTGATGATAGTTTCTTTTGCTGTTCAGAAGCTGTTTAGTTTAATTAGATCCCATTTGTCAATTTTGGTTTTTGTTGCCGTTGCTTTTGGTGTTTCAGACATGAAGTCTTTGCCCATGCCTATGTCCTGAAGGGTATTGCCCAGGTTTCCTTCTAGGATTTTTATGGTCCTAGGTCTTACGTTTAAGTCTTTGATCCATCTTGAGTTGATTTTTGTATAAGGTGTAAGGAAGGGGTCCAGTTTCAGTTTTCTGCATATGGCTGGCCAGTTTTCCCAACACCATTTATTAAATAGGGAATCTTTTCCCCATCGCTTGTTTTTGTCAGGTTTGTCAAAGATCAGATGGTTGTAGATGTGTGGTGTTATTTCTGAGGGCTCTGTTCTGTTCCATTGGTCTATATGTCTGTTCTGGTACCAGTACCATGCTGTTTTGGTTACTGTAGCCTTGTAGTATAATTTGAAGTCATGTAGCATGATGCCTCCAGCTTTGTTTTTCTTGCCCGGGATTGTCTTGGCTATGTGGGTTCTTTTTTGGTTTCACATGAAGTTTAAAGTTGTTTTTTCCAATTCTGTGAAGAAAGTCATTGGTAGCTTGATGAGGACAGCATTGAATCTATAAATTACTTTGGGCGGTATGGCCATTTTCACGACATTGATTCTTCCTATCCATGAGCATGGAATATTTGTCCATTTGTTTGTGTCCTCTCTTATTTCCTTGAGCAGTGGTTTGTAGTTCTCCTTGAAGAAGTCCTTCACATCCCTTGTAAATTGTATTCTTAGGTATTTTATTCTCATAGTAGCAATTGTGAATGGGAGTTCACTCATGATTTGGCTCTCTGTTCTTGGTGTATAGGAATGCTTGTGATTTTTGCACAATGATTTTGTATCCTGAGCATTTGCGGAAGTTGCTTATCAGCTTAAGGAGATTTGGAGCTGAGACAATGGGCTTTTCTAAGTATACAATCATGTCATCTGCAAACAGAGACAATTTGACTTCCTCTCTTCCTATTTGAATACCCTTTATTTCTTTCTCTTGTCTTATTGTCCTGGCCAAAACTTCCAATACTGTGTTGAATAGGAGTGGTGAGAGAGGGCATCCTTGTCTTGTGCCAGTTTTCAAAGGGAAAGCTTCCAGTTTTTGCCCATTCAGTATGATGTTGGCTGTGGGTTTGTCATAAATAGCTCTTTTTATTTTGAGATATGTTCCATTGATACCTAGTTTATTGAGAGTTTTTAGGGTGAAGGGGTGTGAAATTTTGTTGAAGGCCTTTGCTGCATCTATTGAGATAATCATGTGGTTTTTTGTCATTGGTTCTGTTTATGTGATGGATTACGTTTATTGATTTGCGTATGTTGAACCAGGCTTGCATCCCAGCTATGAAGCCAACTTGATCATGGTGGATAAACTTTTTGATGTGCTGCTGGATTTGGTTTGCCAGTATTCTATTTCAGATTTTCACATTGATGTTCACCAAGGATATTGGCCTGAAATTTTCTTTTTTGTTGTGCCTCTGCCAGGTTTTGGTATCAGGATGATGCTGGTCTCATAAAACGAGTTAGGGAGGATTCCCTCTTTTTCCCTTGTTTTGAATAGTCTCAGAAGGAATGGTACCAGCTCCTCTTTGTACCTCTGGTAGAATTTGGCTGTGAATCCGTCTAGTCCTGGACTTTTTCTGGTTGGTCGGCTATTAATTACTGCCTCAATTTCAGAACTTGTTATTGCTTTATTCAGGGATTCGACTTTTTCCTGGTTTAGACTTGTGAGGTTGTATATGTCCAGGAATTTATCCATTCCTTCTAGATTTTCTTATTTATTTATGTAGAGGTGTTTATAGTATTTTCTGATGATAGTTTGTATTTCTGTGAGATCAGTGGTGATATCCCCTATATCATTTTTTATTGCATCTATTTGATTCTTCTCTCTTTTCTTCTTTATTAGTCTGGCTAGCAGTATATCTATTTTGTTGATCTTTTCAAAAAACGAGCTCCCGGATTCATTGATTTTTTTAAAGGATTTTTTGTGTCTCTATCTCCTTCAGTTCTGCTCTGATCTTAGTTATTTCTTGTCTTCTGCTAGATTTTGAATTTATTTGCTGCTGCTTCTCTAGTTCCTTTAATTTTAATGTTAGGGTGTCAATTTTAGATCTTCCCTGCTTTCTCTTATGGGCATTTAGTGCCATAAATTTCCCTCTACACACTGCTTTAAATGTGTTCCAGAGATTCTGGTACATTGTGTCTTTTCTCTCATTGGTTTCAGCAACATCTTTATTTCTGTCTTCATTTCATTATTTACCCAGTAGTCATTCAGGAGCAGGTTGTTCAGGTTCCATGTAGTTGTGCGGTTTTGAGTGAGTTTCTTAATCCTGAGTTCTAATTTGATTGCACTGTGGTCCAAGAGACTGTTTGTTATGATTTCTCTTCTTTTGCATTTGCTGAGGAATGTTTTACTTCCAATTATGTGGTCAATTTTAGAATAAGTGCAATAAGGTGGTGAGAAGAATGTATATTCTGTTGATTTGGGGTGGAGAGTTCTGTAGATGTCTGTTAGGTCTGCTTGGTCCAGAGCTGAGTTCAAGTCCTATTAATTTTCTGTCTCATTGATCTGTCTAATATTGACAGTGGTGTGTTAAAGTCTCCCATTATTATTGTGTGGGAGTCTAAGTCTCTTTGTAGGTCTCTAAAAACTTGTTTTATGAATCTGGGTGCTCCTGTATTGGGTGCATATATATTTAGGATAGTTAGCTCTTCTAGCTGCATTGATCCCTTTACCATTATGTAATGCCCTTCTTTGTCTCTTTTGATCTTTGTTGGTTTAAAGTCTGTTTGATCAGATATTAGGTTTGCATTTCCTGCTTTTGTTTTGCTTTCCATTTGCTTGGTAAATATTCCTCCATCCCTTTATTTTGAGCCTATGCGTGTCTTTACACGTGAGATGGGTCTCCTGAATACAGCACACTTATGGATCTTGACTCTGTATCTAATTTGCCAGTCTGTGTCTTTTAATTGGGGCATTTATTTCATTTACATTTAAAGTTAATATTGTCATGTGTGAATTTGATCCTGTCATTATGATGCTAGCTGTTTGTTTTGCCCCTTAGTTAGAGCATTTTCTTGATATTGTTGATGTTCTTTATAATTTGGTGTGTTTCTGCAATGGCTGGTACTTGTTGTTCCTTTTCACATTTAGTGCTTCCTTTAGGAGCTCTTTTAAGGCAGACCTGGTGATGACAAAATCACTCAGCATTTGCTTGTCTGTAAAGTATTTTATTTCTCCTTCACTTATGAAGCTTAGTTTGGCTGGATATGAAATTCTGGGTTGAAAATTCTTTTCTTTGTGGTGTTCTCTGTATTTCCTGAATTTGAATGTTGGCCTGCCTTGCTAGGTTGGGGAAGTTTTCCTGGATAATATCCTGAAGAGTGTTTTTCAACTTGGTTCCATTCTCCCTGTCACTTTCAGGTATACCTATCAAATGTAGATTTGGTCTTTTCACATAGTCCTATGTTTCTTGGAGGCTTTGTTCATTCCTTTTAATTCTTTTTTCTCTAATCTTGTCTTCTCTCTTTATTTCATTAAGTTGATCTTCAATGACTGATATCCTTTCTTCTGCTTGATCGATTTGGCTATTGAAACTTGTGTATGCTTCACAAAGTTCTCGTGCTGTGTTTTTCAGCTCCATCAGGTCGTTTATGTTCTTCTCTACACTGGTTATTCTAGTTAACAATTCGTCTAACCATTTTTCAAGGTCCTTACCTTTCTTGCATTGGGTTAGAACATGCTCTTTTAACTTGCAGGAGTTTGTTATTACCCGTCTTCTGACACCTACTTCTGTTAATTCATCAAACTCATTCTCCGTCCAGTTTTGTTCCCTTGCTGGCGATGAGTTGTGATCCTTTGGAGGAGAAGAGGTGTTCTGGTTTTCGGAATTTTCAGCCTTTTTGCACTGGTTTCTCCTCATCTTTGTGGATTTATCTACCTTTGGTCTTTGATGTTGGTGACCTTCGGATGGGGTCTTTGATTGGATGTGCTGTTCCTTTCTGCTTGTTAATTTTCCTTCTGACAGTCAGCCCTTCTGCTGCCCGTCTGCTGGAGTTTGCTGGAGGTCCACTCCTGACACTGTTTGCCTGGGTATCACCAGTGGAGGCTCAGTTGGAAATGCAGAAATCACCTGCCTTCTGCGTTGACCTCGCTGGGAGCTGCAGACTGGAGCTGTTCCTATTCGGCCATCTTGCCAGCAATCCCCTGCATCAGGATCTTTTAATAGAAGAATGGATCAAGCAGAAGGAAGAATCAGTGAGCTTGGAGACAGGCTATTTGAAAATATACTGTCAGAGCAGACAAGAGAAAAAAGAATTAGAAACAATAAAGCATGCCTAGAATATCTAGAAAATAGCCTCAAAAGGGCAAATCTAAGAGCTATTGGCTTTAAAGAGGAGGTAGAGAAAGAAATAGAGATAGAAAGTTTACTCAAAGGAATAATAATAGAGAAGTTTACAAACCTAGAAGAAGATATCAACATCCAAGTACAAGAAGGTAATAGAACACCAAACAATTGACTCAAAGAAGAGTACCTCAAGATGTTTAATAATTGAACTCCCAAAGTTCAAGAATGATGAAAGGATCCTAAAAGTGGAAAGAGAAAAGAAACAAATATCATACAACTGAGATCCAATGTGACTGACAGCAGAATTTTCAGTGGAAACTTCACAGGCCAGGAGAAAGTGGCATGGTTTATTTAAAGAGTGAAAGGAAAATAACTTTTAACCTAGAATAGTATAACTGGTAAAATTATCCTTCAAACATGAAGAAGAAATAAAGACTTTCCCAAACAAGCAAAAGCTGAGAGATTTCATCAACACCAGACTTATCTTACAAGAAATGCTAAAGGGAGTACTTCAGTCAGAAAATAAAGGATGTTAATAAGTAATAGGTAATTACCTGAAGGTACAAAACTCACTAGTAATAGTAACTACAAAGAAAAACACAGAATATTATAATACTGTAACTCTGGTGTGTAAACTACTCATATCTTATGTAGGAAGACTAATGGATGAACCAATAAAAAAATAATAACTAAAGTAACTTTTCAAGATGGAGAGAGTACAATAAGTTATAAATAGTGACAACAAAAAGTCAAAAAGTGGGAGAATTAAGTTAAGGTATAGAGTCTTTATTTGTTTCCTTTTTGCTTCTTTACCTGTTTATTTTTGCAAACGGTGTTGTTATCTGGTTAAAATAATGGGTTATAAGATAGTATTTGCAAGCCTCATGGTAACCTCAAACCAAAGAACATACAATGGTAACAAAAAAAATAAAAAGCAAAAAAACTAAATTATGTCACCAGGTAAAACCACCCTTACTGAAAGAAAGACAGGAAGGAAAGAAAGAAGAAAGAGAATACCATAAAACAACCAGAAAACAATAACAAAATGGCAGGAGTAAGTTCTTACTTATCAATAATAGCATTGAATATAAATGGATAAACTCTCCAATCAAAAGACATAGAGTGGCTGACTGGATAAAAAACAAGATTCATAATGTGTTGCCAACAAAAAACACATGTCACCTATAAAGACACACATAGACTAAAAATAAAGAGATGGAAAAAGACATTCCATGCCAATAGAAACCGTAAAAGTGCAGGAGTAGCTACCTTTGTATCATACAAAGTAAATTTCAAAACAAAAACCATAAGAGCAAAGAATGTCACTATATAGTGATAAACGAGTCAGTTCAGCAAGAGGATATTACAATTGTAAATATATATGTACCCAACACTGGAGCACTCAGATATAGAAAGCGAATATTATTAGAACTAAAAATAGAGGTAGACACCAATAAATAGCAGGAGACTTCAACACCCCACTTTGAGCATTGGACAGATCTTCCAGACAGAAAATAATAAAAAAATCAGATTTACTCTGCACTATAGACCAAATGAATCTCATAGATATTTACAGAACATTTCCTCCAACATCTGCAGAATACGTATATTTTTCCTCAGCACATGGATCATTCTCAAGGATAGAACATATGTTAGGTTACAAAACAAGTCTTGTAACATTCAAAAAAATTGAAATATCTTCTCTGACTGCAATGAAATAAAAGTAGAAATCAATAGCAAGAGGAATTTTGGAAACTATAAATACATGAAAACTAAACAACATGCTCCTGAATGACCAGTGGTCAATGAAGAAATTGAGAAGGAAATTGAAAAGTTTCTTTAAACAAATGATAATGGAACCATAATACACCAAAACCTATGGGATAGGAAAAGCACTACTAAGAGGAATTTGTATAGCTATAGGGCCTATATTAAAAAAAGAAAAGTTTCAAATTAACAACCTAGTGATGAATCTTAAAGAACTAGAAAAGCAAGAGCAACCAAACCCTAAATTACTAGAAAAAATAAATAATAAAGATCATAGCATAAATAAATGAAGTTGAAATGAAAAAAATACAGAAGATTAATAAAACAAAAAGCTGATGCTTTGAAAAGATTAACAAAATTGACAAACCTTTTGCCAAATGGAGAGAAACCCATATAAATAAAATCAGAGATTAAAAAAAAGACATCACAACTGATACCATTGAAATTCAAAGGATCATTCATTAGTGGCTACTCTGAGCAATGCTATGCCAATAAGTTCGAAAATCTAGAAGAAACTGATAAACTCTTAGACATATACAACCTACTAAGATTGAACCAGAAAGACATTAACATGTGAACCACACCCAAACAAGTAACAAGATTGAAGCTGTAATAAAAAGTCTCCAAGTAAAGAAAAACCTGGGACCTGATGGCTTCACTACTGAATTCTATCAAACATATAAAGAATTAGTACTAATCCTACTCAAACTTTTCTGAAAAATAGAGGAAGAGGGAATACTTCCAAACTAATCTACACTGCCAGTATTGCCCTGATACCAAAACCAGACAAGACAGCAACAAAAAAAAAAAAAAAAAAAAAAGAAAGAAAGAAAAGAAAAAGAAAACTACAGGCCAGTATTCCCAATGAATATTGATGCAGAAATTCTCAATAAAATATTAGGATACTGAATTCAACAATACACTGAAAAGGTCATTTATTATGACCAAGTGGGATTTATCCCCAAGATGCAAGGATGGTTCAACATATGCAAATCAGGGTCATATATCATATCAGCAGAATGAAGGACAAAAAGTATATGAACATTTAAATTGATACTGAAGAAGTGTTTGATAAAATTTAACATCCTTCATGATAAAAACCCTCAAAAAACTAGGTATAGAAATAATATACCTCAACATAGTGAAAGCCATATATGACAAACCCACAGCTAGTATCATACTAAATGGTAAAAAAATGAAAGCCTTTCCTTTATGATCTGGAACATGACAAGAATGCCTACTTTCACCACTGTTATTCAACATAGTACTGGAAATTCTAGCTAGAACAATCAGACAAGTAAAAGATATAAAGGGCATCTAAATTGGAAAGGAAAAAGTCAAATTACCCTTGTTTGCAGATGTGATCTTATATTTGAAAAAGCCTAAAGACTTCACAAGAAAACTGTTAGAACTAATAAACAAATTCAGTAAAGTTGCAGGCCACGAAATTTCCATATAAAAATCAGCAGGACTTTTTTTTTATTTTTATTTTTTATTATTATTATTTTTTTTGAGATGGAGTCTCGCTCTGTTGCCCTGGCTGGAGTGCAGTGGCACCATCTCGGCTCACTGCAAGCTCTGCCTCCCGGGTTCATGCCATTCTCCTGCCTCAGCCTCCCAAGTAGCTGGGACTACAGGTGCCCGCCACCATGCAAAATCAGCAGGACTTCTATATGTGAACAATATGAAAAATAAAAATGTAGTCAAATTCACAATAGCCATACATAAAATTAAATACCTAGGAATTAGCCAAAGATATTCCATTTTTGGAATCCTTCCATTTTTGAAGAATCTATATTGTTAAAATGTCCATACTACCCAAAGGAGTCTACAGATATAATGTAATTCTTATGAAAATACGAATGACATTCTTCACAGAAATAGAAAAAACAACCTTAAAATTTATATGGAACCACAAAAGACCCAGAATAACCAAGGCTATTTTATGTAACAAACAAACCAACAAACTAAAACTGGAGGAATCACATTACCTGACTTCAAATTATACTATAGAACTGTAGTATCCAAAGAAGCATGGTACTGACATAAAAACAGACACATAGACCAATGGAACAGAATAAAGAACCCAGAAACAAATACATACACTTACAATGAACTCATTTTTTGCAAAAGTGCTGAGAACGTACATTGGGGAAAAGACAGTCTTTATTAAATGTTGCTTGGAAAACTGGATATCCATATGTAGAAAAATGAAACCAGACCTCTATCTTTCAACATACACAAAAATAAAATGAAAGTGGATTAAAGACATATCCAGGACTTCAAACTATGAAACTACTACAAGAAAACATTGGAAAAACTCTGCGGGACATTGGTCTGGGCAAAGATTTCTTAAATATTACCCCACAAGCACAGGCAACCAAAGTAAAAATGGACGGATGGGATCGTATCAAGTCTAAAAGCTTTTGACAGCAAAGGTAACAATCAACAAAGTGAAGAGACAACCCACAGAATGGGAGAAAATATTTGCAAACTACCCATCTGACAAAGGATTAATAACCAGAATATATAAGGAGCTCAAACAATTCTATAGGAAAATATCCAATAATCAGGTCAAAAATGGGCAAAATATTTGAATAGACATTGCTTAGAAGACATACAAATGGCAAACAAGCATGTGAAAACATACTTAACATCATTGATCATCAGAGAAATGCAAATCAAAACTACAATGAGATATCATCCCATCCCTGTTAAAATGACTTATATCCAAGACAGGCAACAACAAATCCTGGCAAGGGTGTGGAGGAAAGGTAACACTTGTACACTGTTGGTGGGAATATAAATGAATACAATCACTATAGAGAAAACTTTGGAGGTTCCTCAAAAAACTAAAAATAGGGCTACTGTACAATCCAGCAATCCCACTGCTGGGTATATACTCAAAAGAAAGGCAGTAAGAATAGTGAAGAGATATCTGCACTTTTATGTTTCTTGCAGCTCTGTCTACAATAGCCAAGATTTGGAAACAACCTATGTGTTCATTAACAGATGAATAGATAAAGAAAACGTGGTACTTATACACAGTGTAGTACTATTCAGCCATAAAAAAAGAAACAGGTTAGGTCATTTGAAACAACAGGGATGGAACTGGAGGTCATTATGTTAAGCAAAATAAGCCAGGCAGTGAAAGACATACTTCCATATTCTCACTTGTGTAATATAAATGTCAAAACAATTGAATCCATGGAGATAGAGAGTAGAAGGATGGTTACCAGAAGCTGGGAAGGGTAGGTGGGGGGGTAGGGTGGTGAGAATGATTAATGGGTACAAAAAATACAAGTAATGAATAAGACCTAGTATTCGATAACATAACAAGGTGACTCTTGTCAATAACAATTAACTTGTACATTTTAAAGTAACTAAAAGAGTATAACTGGAGTGTTTGTAAAACAAAGGATAAATGCTTGAGGGGATGGATACCCCATCTTCCAAGATTTGATTATTACACATTCCATGTCTGTGTGAAAACATCTCATGTACCCCATAAATATATACCCTTACTGTGTACCTAAAAAACTAAAAATTTTAAAAAGGAATAGTTTATTGGAGAACAGGCAGGAGCAGGTAAAGTTTAATCGAAAGACGGAGTTATGTGGTGAACTTTGTGGGTTTGACTTATTTACTGGACATATAGAGGGAAGACTTCAGC
The DNA here is from genome assembly GCF_000001405.40 of Homo sapiens. Classification (NCBI taxonomy): domain Eukaryota; kingdom Metazoa; phylum Chordata; class Mammalia; order Primates; family Hominidae; genus Homo; species Homo sapiens. The sequence continues at coordinate 97,711,067 of NC_000005.10, forward strand.
CAGCAGCTTAATGTATATGACTTGTGGTTGCAGAAATGATCTGGGCTCAAGTAATGGATATTGAAATTACATCCCAAAAGTAGATGTTACCTACAGAATCACAGAGTGCCTTTTGGTGTAATGATAAAGCAATGGGCAAAAAATTCTAGTGTAGACTGGATTCCATCAGTTCATAACTATATCATTTAAACATATCATCTGGTTCCTTTGAAAGGACTCTCAGAGTAACTCTCTATTCTCCCTTAAAAAGCTTTGAGAATAAGTTAGTATGAGTGAAATACCTTTAAAAATCATACATATAAGCTTCCTTCCCTCCTTCCTTCTTTCCTTCCTTCCTTCTTTCCTTCCTTCCTTCCTCACTCCCTCCCTTTCTCTCTCCCTTCCTCCATTTCTCTCTCCCTCCCTTTCTCTTTTTTTCCCTTCCACCCTCCTCCCTTCTAATAATCACTTATTCATCTCTTCAGTATTTACAACAATGAATGGATCTTTAGGACTAAGATTAGGGGAGAGTTAGAGACACTGAAAGTTTTGTTGTCTTCCTAAAGCTCTTTGACAAGATTTGCAATGAAAACCAATAAGAACCTTGGTAGTCTGGGAGAGTTTTACTTGTAACAATTTCTTTTTTCCAAATTGGGTTCTCAATCATTCTTGCCTGTGGTCTTAAATATTTTGCTCAATGTAGTGATGTGTTGAAGTGACTTGAAGAACTAAAACTATATTTGGGTTTGGGGTATCTATTCCTCATTGTTCTTTTGTCTCTAAAGGATTTTCATTACTTGCTCTTAGCACTTCATAAATACACAGGCATGTCCTGTCAGGAGACTAGTAGCTGCTGACAAGGGTAGGATTTTCAATTTGGATTGATAATATTCTGTACTGGAATGGTGATATAAGCCAGCAGTATAAGTTATGACCTGCTGAATCAACTGACTCACTTGGGTAGGCACTTATACCCAATATTTGCCTGCTTTGTACAATATCATCATTTTCTTAGAATTTTGAGTCAGTCCATAATATTTATTGAGTGGCTTCTGAGTATAGAATATGAGGCACTGTATCAGGAGTTGTGAAATGCATTCAGAGAATGAGGGACTGTGCACGTGTCATTTGTCACAGATTATATGTGGAAGAAATGTCATCAACCTCCATGATTAGAATAGTCAAGCCATTTGTTTGCCAGTTAAAAAGTCCTGTCCTGGGAAACCTCATAATGCCTGTTTTATACTGAGATGCTTTATGATACATTCCTAATGAAAGAGTTGATATAATCTACACCCCATATCTTCAACACCTTGAACAGAAGATAGAGTGACTTACATCCAATTATCTATTGACTGGTTAATCATCTAGTGTAGCTCAGAATGACCTAAGAATGAACAACAGTGTCCAGTACTGTATACCATATGTCAACTAGTTGAATAAGACTCAAACCCAGAGACTCTAAACAGGCAGTTAGGAAGAGAAGGAATGATAGAGATGAGAAATAGCTCATTAAGGTAGAGTATGAGCAGGGAGCAGTCAATGTCTACTCTGAGAAGGCAACCAAGTATTTTGAGTTTCTCTTTAAACATCAGAACTGCTATTAGATCCCAGGAAATATTACTTTGTGCAGAATTCAGAGGCATTTCCCCTCAGACTCTCAGAGGACTCCCAAGATCCAACTGGGGCAGGATAAAATCCATTTTAGAACATTTATGGCTTCCTCTTTCCTTGGCTTTCCTGCTATCTCAGTGCTTGCTGATATCACCTCCCAGATATACTACTTATTTTAGTTCCTGCTTTGTTCAAACCAATATACTCTTCTCTTGGATTTGTGCTGTACGTTTTTAGGGAATAAGAACTCAGGGACTAGTATAGTATATGGCACAGCCATGCAAGTGGATGTTCGTCCTTCTGCCACCTTATAGCACCAACATTCTTAACAGAAATTTTCTGGGCAGGAAACTGAAGACTTGAAGGCACTTCTAAATGTGGCTTTCATGGCAGATAGTCTCAAATTAGGCCTCTTGAATGTACCAAGAGAATTACCATATGTTAAAGTATTATGATTAGATCAATTCAATCTACTACTAGGTTTAATTATCAAGGTTATAATTTTTATGGAAATAGACAATAATTTTATGGATAAAGTCTTATGTGAGAAAGATTGGTTATCATTTCTGAATTTTACTCTTGACTGGATATTCAACTGCAATTTATTTTCTTTAGAAAAATTCTCATTTCTAGGATGTAAAAAATGTTTCAAATCAGTTATACTGAATACTTTTTCACAAAATAATATTATCAGTTATAAAATATGAAAGCTAATTAGCAAGCATTGTGATTTTATTGATCATGTAACTAAAAATGACAATTTTGTTTATAGTTCTCACATTTACAGGAGGAGTAGCTCTTTCAACCTGTGCTAGACAGAAAAAATCAAAATGTGTTGGTAAGTAGAAGTATTAGTCCATTTTCACTCTGCTGATAAAGAATACCTGAGACTGGATAATTTATAAAGAAAAAGAGGTTTAATGAACTCACAGTTTCACATGGCTGGGGAGGCCTCACAATCATGGCAGAAGGTGAAAGGCACATCTTACATGGCCTCAGGCAAGAGACAATGAGAGACAAGTGAAAGGGGTTTCCCCTTATAATACCATCAGATCTCGAGATACTTATTCACTACCACGAGAACAGTATGGGCGAAACTGCTCCCGTGATTCACTCGTCTCCTACCGGTTCCCTCCCACAACATGTGGGAATTATGGGAGCTACAGTTCAAGATGAGATTTGGGTGGGGACTCAGAGCCAAACCCTATAAACAGACAAACATGAGACTCCAGGGAATGTACATTTATGACAGGCTTGAGAAGTTCTGCAAAGAAAGTTAACTGGGAATGCCAAAGCTGTTTTCAAATAATAAATTGTACAATATTTTAGGCATTTTGTTTCCACATAGTAAATCAATCTCCCTTCCATTTAGGGTCATACACAGTCATGTCTCAATTTGTATAATTTTTAAAATATATGAAATAAATACTCTCAATAACCAAGATATAGATATAGTGACAGATCAAATCACATTCACAGGTTTTCTAATAACAGTTGTTTTTTTGGTTTTGCTTTAATTGTGAATAAAGGCTGGAAATCTTTTGCATTTTCTCATCAATGATAGCTAATGGATCTTTGATCAATTTCAAAATTCAGTATATTAAGAAACAGGGCTGATAAAAATAATATATACTTTTTCCGTACAATTAAAATGTATTTTACAGATTCCAGAGCTGCTTATATGACAGGATGTGTTTTGACTGTCTCTCTGTAGTCTGTATTATTCTGCCTTTTCTTTATCCTTACTCAGGCTGCTGTCATTGGCCTCAGCTCAGTGAGGTATCAGCATTTTTGCTTTCAAAGAGAATATATGGTGCATTCCCCTAAGTTCTTTCTCTACATAGCCAACTACTAGCAGCAAGTGCTTTTAATAGGGGATATGTGTCTTTGTTCCTTTGTGGAGTCACAGGATGTGTATAATGAACTCTGGCATTATGGTGAAGGTACCTCTCACTGTTCTCACATAATAAGTCTACTGTTATCAGTTTAATTGATCCTGCTTTTGTCAGAAGGCAATTTGTGTCATTCTGGCACAAAGGGAGACAACCAATAAAAGGCTGTACACTTTAGGGACAAGTTGTATACTTTTACAGAACTGCTGTCAGGCAGATTTATATCCATTAGCATTATGCAGGGAATGGAAAAAAAAGATAAGGGTTAAAAGAAGTGTTTTCTTAGTGGGCCAATTAGATGAGGGAGTTGGATGTGAAGGGTGAACAAGTCGGACATCTCTGGTACAGGCTACCTACAATGCAATTTAATAGCTGTAGCATGCAGAATATCATTAACTCATGAGTGATGATCAGTGGAAAATTCCCTTTAATGCTTAGAAAGGGTAACGTGGTATTAAAGAGTTTGTTTAACAATGTTTCAAGTATGCACATTGAGCCTAATCTATTATCCTCTTTGATGAGGAGAAAAAAATGTGGCTAATTTTTGTCTTTTTTTTTTTTTGAGACAGAGTCTTGCTCTGTCGCCCAGGCTGGAGTGCAGTGGCGTGATCTTGGCTCACTGCAAGCTCTACCTCCTGGGTTCACACCATTCCCCTGCCTCAGCCTCCCTAGTAGCTGGGACTACAGGTGCCTGCCACATCGCCCGGCTAATTTTTTGTATTTTTAGTAGAGATGGGGTTTCACCATGTTAGCCAGGATGGTCTCGATCTCCTGACCTCATGATCCGCCCCCCTTGGCCTCCCAAAGTGCTGGGATTACAGGCGTGAGCCACCGCGCCTGGCCTAATTTTAGTCTTACATACAATTTAGAGTTGGGTTTTTCTTAAAAAAATAAGGCTTAGGATACTTAAACTTTTTTTGTTTTTCATACTGGTTAATTTAATATATATAAATCATAATGTTTCGTTTCTTAGATAATTATCATTTTGGCCATTAAAGAAAAAAAAAAACACCTCACTGGACAATGAACGACAACCTGGTGGGCCAGAATTAGGTAGAAGAGATGCACGGAGAGTTCCTAGAGTCACAACAACTTGGTGTGTACATGCCACCAAACATGCACACACACAGATACACACATCCATTGAGAATCACTGAGAGCTGTCAGGCTACAAAACAATAGATTTATACGTGCAAAGCTATACGTGAGACGGTAAATACTCTGATGAAAATAAATCACTGCTTTGTAGTTGTTAAATAAACATTTGTTCTACAAAAAAGATACCAGTCTTGTTTGAGACAGTGTTCTGGGATATAAGTTTTGTTTGTTAGCTTTGTCATTTGGATTTGTCTGAGTGTTTTCCAAGAGTTCTTCATCTCTACACACCTCTGTTTATTCTGATTTTGACTTATCTTGACACTTCCAGGTGAGAAGTGTCCCCAATTTATTGCTCTTCTTTGCTGAATAGAGTTAGAGATAGATGATTGTGATAAGTTTGATGGAGCTTGAGACTCCTCATGTTAGAACTAGAATAGTCTAGGATGTTATACCCATCTAAAGAGTGTTCTTAATGTTTTTGTAAATTTCTGATTAATTTCAAACAACACCTGGATTCTCTTCCTTTTTCATCATGTCTCTATATTCTTGGCTCCATTTCACATAGGTTGAGTGCTCATTGTGGATACCCTTTCTGGGTATGCATAAAATATAAACTAGAGCAACTGACCATAAATAACTTAAAATCACTTACTTTAGTGTATTTCTTCCTTCGAGAAATAATGTATGTCATTCAAAATTGGAAATAAAATCAGAGATAAGAAGGAATATTCTCTGGCTTCTTAGTAAAGAAAGGTGAATTTTTAAGACTAAGATTTAAATTTAAAGTATTTATTAATGAAAATATACATGTAAATGTTTCCTTATACAGACTCTTCACCCATCCTAAGCATTTTTTAGTACACACAGAACATCTATGAGTTGTTCTTTCATATTTATCAAGATAATATTAGCTGATAAATAAAATAGACATAAGCTGATGTCTTCATTCCAGTTTATATTTTTGTAGTGGTGCATATTCAGTGAATTCAGCTTTACCCAGCATGAGTATACTTGTGTTGTATAACTAAGCTGTCCTGAATGGAAAGATAATCTGTATTTGTGTGAAAACTTTCTAATATGATAATATTTCCTCTCAATTTTATAACATTTCTAAGAATATCAGCTATGTTTCTAGTAAGAGCCACAAGTATAGAAGGATGGACGACTATTTCCTGTGATATATACACGTTTAGCAGAATGATAGTTCTAATAGTAAATTATGCATTCCTCTCTCTCCTCTAGTGTGTCCAAGTTGCCTTGTGATCTGCCCTCATTTCCAGCAGTTAGACCACAAGGCATCCAATGGATCAAGGCAGTTTTGTTACCGCAGAAAACAGACAATCAGTTTTTTGAAAAATGAGTTACAAACATCATGGTCCAAATATTGTACAAAATATTTAGAAAAATACAAGATAAATAAGAGCCAGGTTTTTCCCTTGCCCCACTGACAATACAAAGAATATTCCAGATTGAGGAGTAGTGGGGAGAAGAGAGAAGGGGAAAAAGAGCTATTAGTCTTTTCTTCTATTCTCCACTATTAACTACAAAGTCCAGGAGAGGTAAAACATCCTCCACCCCTAAATGGGCTTGGTGAACTATGAGAGTGGAGTGATCTTGTGCATTCTTTTTCGGGGAGATCTTAGGAAATGAAAGGCTTCTCAATTTCTCTGCACCAGAGCATATAATACCTACAGAAATGTATGTGTAGGATGTCTAGGAAAATGGGCCTTCAGCATTCCTCCAGAATCTCCATGTTTCACTGCAGTGCTCAGGGAGCAGCAGAAATACTTTTCTGTGTGGCAGAGAGCAGTGTGGCCTCGGCACAGAGAGCCAGTGAAACTGTAGATGCCTTGTTTTCAAGACAAGGTGGATGTGCATGAAGCCAAGACAGAAGACTACCTGGGAACACAAACATACTAGCTGCTTGCAAAGTAATATTACAGAGATGATTTTAAAAATGCCCAGATTTCTATCTATATCATTCATAATATGTCACTATATAAGTCCCAAAGAATGTAGCCACTAACTCAGGGAAAATATGTAGAGAGACACCGAAATGACTGTGATTAAGTTACTGCCAGTTAGTGATTAGAATATAAATTAAACTTAGTTATAAAAAAAGATAAATTTCATGACTATCTTATTTGTTTTTTTTATTATACTTTAAGTTTTAGGGTACATGTGCACAATGTGCAGGTTTGTTACATATGTATACATGTGCCATATTGGTGTGCTGCATCCATTAACTCATCATTTAACACTAGGTATATCTCCTAATGCTATCCCTCCCCTCACCCCACAACAGTCCCTGGTGGGTGATGTTCCCCTTCCTGTGTCCATGTGTTCTCATTGTTCAATTCCGACCTATGAGTGAGAACATGTGGTGTTTGGTTTTGTGTCCTTGTGATAGTTTGCTGAGAATGATGGTTTCCAGCTTTATCCATGTCCCTACAAAGGACATGAACTCATCATTTTTTATGGCTGCATCGTATTCCATGGTGTATATGTGCCACATTTTCTTAATCCAGTCTATCATTGTTAGACATTTGGGTTGGCTGCAAGTCTTTGCTATTGTGAATAGTGCCGCAATAAACATACGTGTGCATGTGTCTTTATAGCAGCATGATTTATAATCCTTTGGGTATATCCCCAGTAATGGGATGGCTGGATCAAATGGTATTTCTAGTTCTAGATCCCTGAGGATTTGCCACACTGTCTTCCACAATGGTTGAACTAGTTTACAGTCCCACCAACAGTGTAAAAGTGTTCCTATTTCTCCACATCCTCTCCAGAACCTGTTGTTTCCTGACTTTTGAATGATCGCCATTCTAACTGGTGTGAGATGGTATCTCATTGTGGTTTTGATTTGCATTTCTCTGATGGCCAATGATGCTGAGAAGTTTTTCACATGTCTGTTGGCTGCATAAATGTCTTCTTTTGAGAAGTGTCTGTTCATATCCTTCGCCCACTTGTTGATGGGGTTGTTTGTTTTTTTCTTGTAAATTTGTTTGAGTTCTTTGTAGATTCTGGATATTAGCCCTTTGTCAGATGAGTAGATTGCAAAAATTGTCTCCCATTCTGTAGGTTGCCTGTTCACTCTGACGGTAGTTTCTTTTGCTGTGCAGAAACTCTTTTAGTTTAAGTAGATCCCATTCGTCAATTTTGGCTTTTGTTGCCATTGCTTTTGGTGTTTTAGACATGAAGTCCTTGCCCATGCCTATGTCCTGAATGGTATTTCCTAGGTTTTCTTCTAGAGTTTTTATGGTTTTAGGTCTAACATTTAAGTCTTTAATCCACCTTGAATTTATTTCTGTATAAGGTGTAAGGAAGGGATCCAGTTTCAGCTTTCTACATATGGTTAGCCAGTTTTCCCAGCACCATTTATTAAATAGGGAATCCTTTCCCCATTGCTTGTTTTTCTCAGGTTTGTCAAAGATCAGATAGTTATAGATGTGTGGCATTATTTCTGAGGGCTCTGTTCTGTTCCATTGGTCTATATCTCTGTTTTGGTACCAGTACCATGCTTTTTTGGTTACTGTAGCCTTGTAGCATAATTTGAAGTCAGGTAGCATGCTGCCTCCAGCTTTGTACTTTCGGCTTAGGATTGACTTGGCGATGCGGGCTCTTTTTTGGTTCCATATGAACTTTAAAGTAGTTTTTTCCAATTCTGTGAAGAAAGTCATTGGTAGCTTGATGGGGATGGCATTGAATCTATGAATTCCCTTGGGCAGTATGGCCATTTTCACGATATTGATTCTTCCTACCCATGAGCATGGAATGTTCTTCCATTTGTTTGTATCCTCTTTTATTTCATTGAGCAGTAGTTTGTAGTTCTCTTTGAAGAGGTCCTTCACATCCCTTGTAAGTTGGATTCTTAGGTATTTTATTCTCTTTGGAGCAATTGTGAATGGGAGTTCACTCATGATTTGGCTCTCTGTTTGTCTGTTATTGGTGTATAAGAATGCTTGTGATTTTTGCACATTGATTTTGTATCCTGAGACTTTGCTGAAGTTGCTTATCAGTTTTAGGAGATTTTGGGCTGAGACGATGGGGTTTTCTAGATATACAATCATGTCATCTGCAAACAGGGACCGTTTGACTTCCTCTTTTCCTAATTGAATGCCCTTTATTTCCTTCTCCTGCCTGATTTCCCTGGCCAGAACTTCCAACACTGTGTTAAATACGACTGGTGAGACAGGGCATCCCTGTCTTGTGCCAGTTTTCAAAGGGAATGCTTCCAGTTTTTGTCCATTCAGTATGATATTGGCTGTGGGTTTGTCATAGATAGCTCTTATTATTTTGAGATACGTCCCATCAATACCCAATTTATTGAGAGTTTTTAGCATGAAGGGCTGTTGAATTTTGTCAAAGGCCTTTTCTGCATCTATTGAGATAATCGTGTGATTTTTGTCTTTGGTTCTGTTTATATGCTGGATTACATTTATTGATTTGCATATGTTGAACCAGCCTTGCATCCCAGGGATGAAGCCCACTTGATCATGGTGGATAAGCTTTTTGATGTGCTGCTGGATTCGGTTTGCCAGTATTTTATTGAGGATTTTTGCATCAATGTTCATCAAGGATATTGGTCTAAAATTCTCTTTTTTGGTTGTGTCTCTGCCCGGCTTTGGTATCAGGAGGATGCTGGCCTCATAAAATGAGCTAGGGAGGATTCCCTCTTTTTCTATTGATTGAAATAGTTTCAGAAGGAATGGTACCAGCTCCTCCTTGTACCTCTGGTAGAATTCAGCTGTTAATCCATCTGGTCCTGGACTCTTTTTGGTTGGTAAGCTATTAATTATTGCCTCAATATCAGAGCCTGTTATTGGTGTATTCAGAGATTCAGCTTCTTCCTGGTTTAGTCTTGGGAGGGTGTATGTGTCGAGGAATTTATCCATTTCTTCTAGATTTTCTAGTTTATTTGCATAGAGGTGTTTATAGTATTCTCTGATGGTAGTTTGTATTGCTGTGGGATTGGCGGTGATATCCCCTTTATCATTTTTTATTGTGTCTATTTGATTCTTCTCTCTTTTCTTCTTTATTAATCTTGCTAGCAGTCTATCAATTTTGTGGATCTTTTCAAAAAACCAGCTCCTGGATTCATTGATTTTTGGAAGGGATTTTTGTATCTCTATCTCCTTCATTTCTGCTCTGATCTTAGTTATTTCTTGCCTTCTGCTAGCTTTTGAATGTGTTTGCTCTTGCTTCCCTAGTTCTTTTAATTCTGATATTAGGGTGTCAATTTTAGATCTTGCCTGCTTTCTCTTGTGGGCATTTAGTGCTATAAATTTCCCTCTTCACACTGCTTTTAATGTGTCCCAGAGATTCTAGTATGTTGTGTCTTTGTTCTCATTGGTTTCAAAGAACATCTTTATTTCTGCCTTCATTTTGTTAGGTACCCAGTAGTCATTCAGGAACAGGTTGTTCAGTTTCCATGTAGTTGAGCAGTTTTGAGTGAGTTTCTTAATCCTGAGTTCTAGTTTGGTTGCACTGTGGTCTGAGAGACAGTTTGTTATAATTTCTGTTGTTTTACATTTGCTAAGGAGTGTTTTACTTCCAACTGTGTGGTCAATTTTGGAATAGGTGTGGTGTGGTGCTGAGAAGAATGTATATTTTGTTGATTTGGGTGGAGAGTTCTGTAGATGTCTATTAGGTCTGCTTGGTGCAGAGCTGAGTTCAATTCCTGGATATCCTTGTTAACTTTCTGTCTCGTTGATCTGTCTAATGTTGACAGTGGGGTGTTAAAGTCTCCCATTATTATTGTGTGGGAGTCTTAAGTCTTTTTGTTGGTCTCTAAGGGCTTGCTTTATGAATCTGGGTGCTCCTGTCTTGGGTGCATATATATTTAGGATAGTTACCTCTTCTTGTTCAATTGATCCCTTTACCATTATGTAATGGCCTTCTTTGTCTCTTTTGATTTTGTTGGTTTAAAGTCTGTTTTATCAGAGACTAGGATGCAACCCCTGACTTTTTTGTTCTCCATTTGCTTGGTAGATCTTCCTCCATCCCTTTATTTTGAGCCTATGTGTGTCTCTGCACAAGAGATGGATTTCCTGAATATAGCACACTGATGGGTCTTGACTCTTTATCCAATTTGCCAGTCTGTGTCTTTTAATTGGAGCATTTAACCCATTTACATTTAAGTTTAATATTGTTATGTGTGAATTTGATCCTGTCATTAGATGTTAGCTGCTTATTTTGCTTGTTAGTTGATGCAGTTTCTTCCTAGCCATGATGGTCTTTACAATTTGGCATGTTTTTGCAGTGGCTGGTACTGGTTGTTCCTTTCCATGTTTAGTGCTTCCTTCGGGAGCTCTTTTAGGGCAGGCCTGGTGGTGACAAAATCTCCCAGTATTTGCTTGTCTGTAAAGTATTTTATTTCTCCTTCACTTATGAAGCTTAGTTTGGCTGGATATGAAATTGTGGGTTGAAAATTCTTTTCTTTAAGAATGTTGAATAGTGGCCTCCACTCTCTTCTGGCTTGTAGAGCTTCTGCCAAGAGATCTGCTGTTAGTCTGATGGGCTTCCCTTTGTGGTAACCCAACCTTTGTCTCTGGCTGTCCTTAACATTTTTTCCTTGATTTCAACTTTGGTGAATCTGACAATTATTTTTCTTGGAGTTGCTCTTCTTGAGGAGTATCTTTGTGGCATTCTCTGTATTTCCTGAATTTGAATGTTGGCCTGCCTTGCTAGGTTGGGGAAGTTCTCCTGGATAATATCCTGCAGAGTGTTTTCCAACTTGGTTCCATTCTCCCTGTCACTTTCAGGTATACCAGTCAGAAGTAGATTTGGTCTTTTCACATAGTCCCATATTTCTTGGAGGCTTTGTTCGTTTCTTTTTTTCTTTTTTCTCTAAACTTCTCTTCTCCCTTTATTTCATTCATCTGATCTTCCATCACTGATACTCTTCCGGTTGATCGAATCGGCTACTGAGGCTTGTGCATTCATCACATAGTTCTCGTGCTGTGGTTTTCAGCTCCATTAGGTCCTTTAAGGACTTCTCTGCGTTGGTTGTTCTAGTTAGCCATTCGTCTAATCTTTTTTCAAGGTTTTTAACTTCTTTGCTATGGGTTCGAACTTCCTCCTTTAGCTCGGAGTAGTTTGATCATCTGAAGCTCTCTTTTCTCAACTTGTCAAAGTCATTCTCCATCCAGCTTTGTTCCATTACTGGTGAGGAGCTGCGTTCCTTTGGACGAGGAGAGGCTCTCTGATTTTTAGAATTTTCAGTTTTTCTATTCTGCTTTTTCCCCATCTTTGTGGTTTTATCTACCTTTGATCTTTGATGATGGTGACGTGCAGATGGGGTTTTGGTGTGGATGTCCTTTCTGTTTGTTAGTTTTCCTTCTAACAGTCAGGACCCTCAGCTGCAGGTCTGTTGGAGTTTGATGGAGGTCCACTCCAGACCCTGTTTTCCTGGGTATCAGCAGTGGAGGCTGCTGAACAGCGAATATTGGTGAACAGCAAATGTTGCTGCCTGATCATTCCTCTGGAAGTTTTGTCTCAGAGGAGTACCTGACTGTGTGAGGTATCAGTCTGCCCCTACTGGGGGGTGCCCAGTTAGGCTACTCGGGGTTCAGGGACCCACTTGAGGAGGCAGTCTGTCCATTCTCAGATCTCAGGCTGCATGCTGGGAGAACCACCACTCTCTTCAAAGCTGTCAGACAGGGACAATTAAGACTGCAGAGGTTTCTCCTGCCTTTTGTTTGGCTATGCCCTGCCCCTAGAGGTGGCGTCTGCAGAGGCAGGCAGGCCTCCTTGAGCTGTGGTGGGCTCCATCCAGTTTGAGCTTCCCAGCCACTTTGTTTACCTACTCAAGCCTAGGCAAAGGCAGGCACCCCTCCCCCCGCCTTGCTGCTGCCTTGCAGTTTGATCTCAGACTGCTGTGCTAGCAATGAGCAAGGCTCCGTGGGCATAGGACCCTCCAAGCCAGGCACGGGATACAATCTCCTGGTGTGCCATTTGCTAAGACCATCGCAAAAGTGCAGTATTAGGGTGGGAGTGACCCAATTTTCCAGTTGTCATCTGTCACCCTTTTCCTTCCCTGACCCCTTGCGCTTCCTGGGTGAGGTGATCCCTCACCCTTCTTCAGCTCATGCTCGGTGCGCTGCAGCCACTGTCCGACAATCCCCAGTGAGATCAACCTGGTACCTCAGTTGGAAATGCATAAATCATTCGTCTTCTGCATCATTCACGCTGAGAGCTGTAGACTGGAGCTGTTCCTATTCGGCCATCGTGGCTCCACCTCCCTCATGAATATCTTATATAGTGGAATGAGATTGGCATTGACCATGTGTATTTTAATATATGTCATATTTTGTGTATGTCATTGGTGTTTTTAGCTCTTGTAATGCATAGTTCTGAATATTTTAAATATCTAACAGTTATAAAGCTATAATTTTCTCTCACACACACACACACACACACACACACACACACACACACCTCACGGTGCCCCTTTTCATTGTGGATGGTGATAGAAGTCACCATAATTCTGGGCAGCTATAGTAGTTTCAACATCATTTCCTCCTATTTAGTATCCATGAGAATTCCAGATATCAAAATTCAAATGTTATACAATTGTAACTGAAACTCTTGAGTGAGATTTTCAGCCATTTTAGTCTTCTCCCAATTGCATTAGACTTTTCTCAAAATTAAATATTTAAGACTTTATTTTTATTCTTGTAAAAGGAGAAATAAACATAATTTTCTAGGAAGCACAAAAAGGACCATGAAATAACTTATTTATCTTTCTCTCCTTTTGTGGTTTCAAGATTCTCAAGGATGAGCAAAGAGTAGAAAATAAAAACACAGCTTCTTATATCTCATTTCTATGAGTCAAATTGCACCAGAAAAACAATCTTGGTATTACTCTTAAAACATATCACTTTTCTTGGGGAACACTCTATGGAAGAATCGATGCTACTTGAAATTCTAAGAATAACTACGAATGATGTGGATGGAAAGGGTCAGGCTCTCTGTTGATTATTCCCCTCAGTCACTCTGGTCATGCCTTTCTTCCCTTGATCATTTCATCACAATGACACTTTACTCTTAAATTTTATGTATTTCAGAAGGAAGCAACTAGTATGCTGAAGGCAAATTTACTTGACTCTTAAAAGTTTGATGAAGCAGCTCTCTACTCACATTATATATTTCAACTTGAATCAAATTTAGGTAAAGTTAACACATTCACTGGGTATTCTTAGGCATAATAAGATGAACATAACTCACTTTAGGGTGGTATTCTATTCAGGTACATGAGTAATGAATAACTTTCTGCTGCTCTAACTTACACAAGCATCAGTTATCTACTGAGTTAGTACTGAGAGATTTATTTTGACAATCTCTGGGGCACGTTATTGAAAATAATCATGATTGATCTGATTATAAATAATTAAAGTATATAAAGCCTAATTTATTTATTAAATTTATTTGGGAAGGCTTTTACTTGTTTGACCTACTATTTCTGTGTTATTTGGTGAGATTATTTTTGCTGCTTTTATTGAAGTAAATAAAGATGCTAAAACAATTTTTAAGACTAAGGTAGAATATTTCATTAACCAATGAAATTCAAACTTGTTCAAATGAAGTTTCCTGAACTCTCCTTCCCACAGTTTCATTTCTGTAGGACTTGGCAGGAGAGGTTCTAGAAATCTGATTTATTGTGCTCTTTCAGAAGATTCTCATGCAGGTATCCCTAGGACAACATTTTGAGAAACAGTGATGTAGAGTCCCTCAATTATTATTTCCCTTCTTCTGTTTACCACCTTAGAATGTGTACAAAATGTAATATATTTATAATTAATTTTTTAAAAAATAAACTTAATCTTTTCATACAGGTTTAGATTTAAAAGACAAAATCAAGCATATAGTACAGAGAGTTCCCATAAACCCTGCACCCCATTTCCCCTATTATTAACACATTAATGATACATTTGTCATAACTATTGAACCAATATGGATATTTTATTATTAAATAAAGCTATATTTTGTTCAGATTTCCTTTTTCTTTGCCTAATGTTCTATTTTGTTCCAGGATCTCACCCACGACACCACATTACAGTTGTCATGTCTCCTTAGGCTCAACTTGGCAGTGACAGTTTCTCAGACTTTCTTTGTTTTTGACAACCTTGATAGTTTGAAGAGTACTAGTTAGATGTCTTGTAGAATGCCCCTTTGGTGAAATTTGTCTGATGTTTTTCTTATGATTAATCTGGGGTTACGGGTTTTTAGGAGGAAGATGACAAAGGTGAAATGCCATTTTCATCACATCATGTAAAGGATACAGACTATGAACATTACTTGTCATTGTTGATGTTAACATTGGTCAATTGTCTGAGGTAGTCTTAGGCAGGTCTCTCCAGATGTAAAGTTGTTCTTTATCCCCAACTGCCTTTCCAAACTCTTAGGAAGAAAGCTCACTTAAGGTACGGGGAGTTATGCTCTAGCTCCTTGAAAGATGCATATCTACATAAATTATTTGAATTCTGCACAGGAAATTTGTCTTTTCTCCTCCATTTATTTAGTCAAGTATTTATTTATACCGGTGTAGAATCATGGATATTTGTTTTATACCTTGAGTCACAATCCAATACTTTTTTTTTTTTTTTTACTTTGTTGCTCAAATTGTTCCAACTTTGACCACTGGAGGCTCTTTCAGTTGACTCTGGTATCTTTTTGACATACCACATTTATTGGATTGGTTTAGGATTTTTTTTTTCCTTTGCTGTTTGTTTGCTTTAACACTTCCTTACTTTCCAGCACTACAAGATGCTCCTGGTTTATCTTGTATATTTCCTGCACAAGTCCTAGAACCAGCCATTTATCCAACAAATCCTGATTCTTTTAATTGAATAGTGGTATGAGAAACCAAGATACAGGTGCTAGGTGCACAATTATATTCTTAAGAAAAAATAATTAGAAATGATGCAAAATGTAACAAGATGAATTGATGATAAGACTAGTCTAAAAGAAAATCTCAAACCTTTTTTCTGAAGACACCTTAAAAATTATTTTGAGAACCTCAAAAAGCTCTTGTTTATGTGGATTATATCAATTTATGTTTGCTGAATTAAAAATTAAAACTGAGACATTTTAAACCTATAATTTTTTTTTGAGAGTCTGTCACCTAGCCTGGAGTACAGTGGCGTGATCTCAGCTCGCTGCAACTTCCGCCTCCTGGGTTCAAGTGATTCTCCTGCCTCAGCCTCCTGAGTAGCTGAGACTATAGGCATGTGCCACCATGCCCGGCTAATTTTTGTATTTTTAGTAGGGATGGGGTTTCACTATGTTGGCCAGGCTGGTCTTGAACTCCTGACCTCAGGTGATCCACCTGCCTCAGCCTCCCAAAGTGCTGGGATTACAGACGGGAGCCACCGTGCCCAGCCTAAACATATAATTTAATAATCATTTGAGTAAAACAATAATAAGTCCAATATTTTTTGATATAATTAACATTGTAATAAAAAATTAAAATTTTAAAATAAAAAATTTCAAGGATAGTGTCATTGCTTTACAGTTTTGCAATTTTTTAAATGTCTGGCCTAATATAAAGTAACTACAGTACTAATTATGCTCTTGCCTTCATCTGCTGCAATTTATTGTTTAAGTTAAAGTGTATCAAGAAAATCTAGCCTCACATAAATATTCAATTGAAAGTGGGAGAACTATTTGAGTAGCCTTTTCAGATTATTTTGGATACATTGTGTAGTCTCTGGAAAAATCTAAAATATATTTATGACAAAATGAGAGTGATATGGAGAAATAATATCTTAGTATTATTATGAATATCATTTTGACCTTGTGTACTCCCTGAAAAGTCTCAGGAGCTCACAGTAGTCTCAGACCACTCTTTGAGAGCTGTTGGTCTTAAATAGACTGTTTCAAAAGCAAAAATAAAATAATCTACAGATTCAAACTTTTACTATTGCTTATTTACTGTTATTTATTTAATCCATAAGATTTTTCACAGGTTGATATTTTTCATTTACTTCATTTAGAGAAAAGGGGTTGGCATAAATCCTGCATGTTTAGTGGTACAATGCTGGATTTACTGTCAGTGTAAAGTCAGGCAAATCAAGTAAAGTTAAATAATTTTCTCTCTTAAGCCTTCTCCATTTCCTTTTCTCCTATTTGCCTGATATAACTTGTTTTACTCTCACATTCCCATTTTGGTTTAGGGCAGCATTGGGGCATGTTTGATGAGGGGTCACTTGGAAGCATTTCTTAATGCTTTGCATTCACCATCAATCAGTTGTGATAAGTGTTCATGTGGGCAATTTATGCTATGAAAACACCTTGTATGGCACTTGAGAGCAAGAGAGGAAAGGTGAGTCTGACAGGAATGAGGAGACAAGAGAGTGAGCCCAACACCAATTTTCTAAATCTGTTGCTCTGCTGGAATGAATGATTGTGAGAGATGATGGATGACTGATATCACTGTTAAGTGTCTTTTATTCCTTAGGATAATTTTGCCAATTTTCCAGTGAACTTAAATGTCCACAGATGTTCTAGATGAAACCTACTGATTCGTAACTCCAAGTCTTTAAGGGCCAAATTGTTGGAGAATGTCAGTGGAAACTGGCAGTTTGACTATAGTTTCTACAAAAGACCATTGAGTGTCCTGAAGATTCTCTTGTAATTTGTCACTGGCACAAATGTCTAGCATAGTAATTTTACTTTTAGTAGATTAGGGATAAGAATGGAATGTTAAATGTTGCTTGTTCAGATCACAGTGGGTGAATGTGTACTACACGTCCTATCTATTTCTGTTGGTACTCTTCAAGGAAAAAATGTTAAATAAGAAGTTACTTCAAAATTCTGCTGTATTTTACATTGGCCAAAATGATTGTCACTATTAAGAAGAATTTTATAGAACATAAAACATAAAAATTTTTAAAGAAGTAATCACCATTTATAGGAAGTGAATATGAGGTGAAAGGAAAAGAATGTGTATTTTTTAGTTAAAATGTGGCTCTGACATTGGCCTGTCTCTCTGGCTTGCAGGCCTCACCCCACCTTTATTTTCACCTCTCCTAAATGCTCTACCAGTCCCTTTAGCAGACTGCTAAATGTTTGCTAGAAAGACAGGCTTGCCTTTGTTTCCACTTCATATCCTCCATTAAGCACATTAAATATTTTAAATACCATTAAATTCTTTAGAGATGCTTCATGTTCAAATTTAAAAATATTTAGAGTTCAAATTTCATGGTTAATTATTTTTCAATAGTCCCCTTTTCTGAAAGGTCTGTGTCAATTCATTCTTTGTCTATCTTTGCTGTCCTTTTAACAAACTGATGACTGCATCTATCTACAACCTTAGTCAGTGTTCCTTAATTTGATTGCATATTAGAACACCTGCAAACTTTAAAAAAAATGTATAGATTCCTGGATTTCACTGAGACCAAATGAATCAGAATTGCTGGCAAGGCTAGGGCATTGGTATTTCTTAGGAATTCTCCAGTGACTCTAATGCACAATTACAGTTTAGAATTACTGGTCTAGGCTATGGATGACAAATACGTTTTCATCTTATCCAACAACACTGTGTTAAGAATGATACCATAGTGGGCCGGGCATGGGTGGCTCACGCCTGTAATCCCAGCATTTTGAGAGGTCGAGGTGGGTGGATCACGAGGTCGGGAAATGGAGACCATCCTGGGTAACACGGTGAAACCCCATCTCTACTAAAAATACAAAAAATTAGCCAGATATGGTGGCGGGCGCCTGTAGTCCCAGCTACTCGGAAGGCTGAGGCAGGAGAATGGCTTGAACCTGGGAGGCAGAGGTTGCAGTGAGCTGAGATCGTGCCACTGCACTCCAGCCTGGGCGACAGAGTGAGACTCCGTCTCAAACAAAACAAAAACAAACAAACAAACAAAAACCAGAATGATATTATAGTCATGTTTGGAATCAAGGTAAGACCATTACAATGCATTCTTGATGTCTACAGTAGTGGCTCAGCTGTCAGGTTCTTGCCATCACTTACCATATCCTTCTGACTTTAAATTTTCTCCCTCATAAGCATTGAGCTCATTCTCTATTTCTCTGGTCTCCATTCATATTGTAGGGCCCACCATCCATACATCATAATGCTGAAAAATTTTATTTCATGTAAATTTTGTTAGTAGTTTTAGTAAAGAGTGGATTCTAAAATTAAATACTAAACACACACACACACACACTCACACACACACACACGGCAGATGACATACATACACATGCTTCACATATTGCCAAAGTCACTGAGCATTTATTATGGCCATAGTAAAAGAATATAGAGGGGTTCTGTAGTGTAGCAGTCATCACACTCATCTCACATAGTAAGAAAATATAGTGAATCATTTTTTTGCTATGACAATTGCTGATATATATTAATAGTCAAATTTTATGAACTGAGAAGTGAGGGGAAAAAAGAATCTTCCTTGTATTTCTGTTTCTACTAGTTCTGCTTACTCTGTGTTGTCTTCTAGTCACTTAATCTGCCTGATCATCAGTTTTATTATGTACTGGAGGTCAGTGTTATGTACTTCATAAGGGTTGTGAGAATATTGTGAAAATCATATAATCTATATTGTATATTTATGAGATTCTTTGTGCAGAATAACTCCTCAGAAAATATAAGCTAATTTTAGTTATTGGCATATGGATAATCTGATTAATCATAGATATTTGCCAATTCAGTTAAACTGCGTGCTATTGTCCATCATACTCCTTAGTTACCATTAAGCAATCATCTAGTGTACAGAATAGAAAACACTCTGGGAAGTGGGAGATAGGATTGTAATATGCTACAGAAACAACCCCACTCCCACCACCACCGGAATTACTGCATAAATTATTCACGGTCATACAGAATGCAAGTGGAAGAATCAAGATTCAGCCCCGAGTTGATCTACCTCCGCTTTAAACCAGAAAATAGATGATACTTCATAATTTTAAAATCTGTTGATTTACATTATCTCATTTGATACTTATAACAACCTCTAAGGTTGGCATTATTAAGCTCATTTCACAGATGTATAAACAGAGGCTCAGAGGAAAAAAATGATTTATCCCACCTGGCTCAGCTAATTTTAATTAAAATAATAATTCCTAAATTCATAGCTGTAGTGTCACAGATTTTTTAAATCTCCACAGCTAGATGATTTCCTTAGATGGTGCTGTTTCAGATTAAATGCATAACAAAGCATTATGTTTATAAAATCAGGATAATGTGTATTTTTTGATTGTTCATAACCTTAGAACAGAAAACTAAGAATTGACAGCATTTATTTAATCTTTGTGGCACAAAACTTTATCTTGAACATTTTGTTATCTGTTTATAGTTTATCTTTGAGAGTGGTAGGATGATGGACATTTTATTTCTAATGGTGATTTAAGTCACCTATCAAACAACAACAACAACATTGGGATGAACAAATATTCTCATTCCAAAGCGGTCTAGTAGAGATAACCTCTTGTGTACAGAGGATGAGAATTTTTCCTCTTTTTAGAGGATGATCATTTCCAGTCATACTTACAATGAAGATTTGTAGTTTTGGGAGATGTTATCATATCCTGTATACTACAGGTGGTAAACATTTAAAGGTCAACATTTCAAAGAAATGTCTAAATTTCCATGCCCAATAGCATTTGCGTATGTTTTCTCATGTCCTTGAATTAGCCATGCATGCAGAAAATGCATGTGCAAACCATATGGCAAGAATTCTATGTCACTTCCAAGAATCTTTTCCTGCAAGGGTCTGGGTTGCACATAAGCAAAATCATAGTTGAAGCCCACAAAGACTTGGAATCACAAATGCAATGCCTGATTAAGTCCAAGCATTCAATTTATTTTTAGAATAAAAGTGTAGACTCTAAATTTAGAAGTGACTCTTTCAGTTAAAACATTAAGCACAGAAGCAGGACCACTAACTCTTTTGTATTAAAAGGATATCCAAGTGCTCTCCCTCTCCAAAACTGTCTTACCAAATAATAAAACTACATCAGAAACAAAGAAACAGTAGGTCAGTTGACCTACCATTTTCTAGTGGAAGTAAGTCAGGAATCACGTTCCACTAGGAAGTGTAGCTCATGGGTCATGTGTTTGATTTTCTTTGCTGGTTACATACTTTCTTCTTTGCCACAGGCTAGCACGCACATTTAGGTTGTCAGCCTGGTTCCTACTGGCATTTGAGTTTATAACTCCTGTGTGTGACCAGGCTCGTTGTCCTTACTCCCTTCTGTCCCTCATGAATTCTGCATCTAAATCAGTTTGGCTCAGGTTTCTGTACCCAGAGTAAGTTCATAAAGCCTTTTGCTATCCTCGATCTTCTACAGACAATATAATGCAGTGTTACATGTGTCCTAAATAACTCACATAATTAATCGAAATAAAGTAACTTTTTCAGTTTAATGTTCTGTCATGTTGCCATTGTCTATCATTGCATTTCATCAATAAGTTTTATATAAAATATAATAGTTGCTGACATTAAGTATTTAATTATTAGCCATTGTGCTTGAGATTAGCAATGGGGTGAATTTTAAATAGAATATTCAAATAGGTCTCACTGGAAAGTTGATACCGGAGCAGTTAACTTGATGAGGAAATTAGCCATGGCTATTTGGAGAAGGGATGTTTTAGAAAGAAGTAACAGCTTAAGATGAAGTCATAAGGGAAAAGCATGCCTGATATAATCAGAGAACAGCAAGAATCCCACTGTGTCTAGAGCAGAGTGAGTGATGAGGAAGGGGACAGACAAAGAGATGAAGATAGAGAGGTGGTAATATGTGTGCAGGTGGCAGATTATGTAGATACTTGAAGGATTTTGGTTTTTACTCTAATGGAAATGAAATTATCAAGTTTTAAGTACAGACTAGATATAAATCGTATTATACTACAAAGATATCATTTTAGCTTCTGTGCTGAGAATAGACTATAGTGCAGCAAGGGCAGTACGGAAGACCAGATAAGAGACTTTTAACAAATAATCCAGGTGAACTCTGGCAATCAGGGAGGTAGTAGTGGAGATTGTGAGAAGTGGTCAGATATTGAATATATTTTGAAACTAGAGTCGACAAATTGATGATACATTGAATTTAACATAGGAAAATAAGGAGACATCAAGCTTACACCAGGGTAACTGGCATAATTAACTGGAAGGTTAGAACTGGCATTAACTGAGATGGGAAAGACAGTGAATAAAATAGCTTTTGGTGGGAGAATTAGGAGATCAGTTTTAGCCATGCTTGGTTTGAAATGTCTTAGATATCGAAGTATAAATGGATGAGCTGACAGTTGAATATACAAGTTTGGAGTTTCAGAAAGAAATGCAGGATGGTGATATATATTATTCATGATTTTTTTTCACATTTTCTTCCATTTTATCTTCCTATGTCTGAATGATTTCCTGAACTATTTCATTCATTAATTCTCTCTTTAGCAATATCTCATCCACACTTGATCAATGTTGAACAATTTTTATTTCAATGACTATATTTTATATTAAGCATTTTTTGTATAGTTTTCACATCTGGCTCTTCTCATTTCAAAATTTTTCTATTATTGTTTTATTGTGTGAATATCTTCATATAGTTGTTTTAGACATGAAATGTATTTATTTTTGGTACCCTTTCAGATTATTCTATTTGCTATAGTCATTTGGATGCAAATGTTTATTTTATAAAATCCAACGCTATATGGTTGGTATTAGGCTTTCTCATATCTTTTATAATTTTTTTATGAATTCATCTTCCCTGGTCATTTTCTTCCTTTAAGAGTCTTTGAATGCTGTGGATTATAAAACTCTCCTCATTAGTTAATATTGGGCATACTTTTAATTGAGCCACAACCTTTTATTCAGCTTTAGTCCAGTTTTTATGTCAAGTTTATGTCAGTTTATTAATCAAGCTTTTCTTCATGCACAAAACATGAATTTAGGTT
Source organism: Homo sapiens (assembly GCF_000001405.40). Classification (NCBI taxonomy): domain Eukaryota; kingdom Metazoa; phylum Chordata; class Mammalia; order Primates; family Hominidae; genus Homo; species Homo sapiens. The sequence continues at coordinate 97,733,573 of NC_000005.10, forward strand.
TTTCCCCATAAGCTGGTAGACTTGAAGTCCTGATCCCTTTAAAGGAATTATGTCTTTACACATCACTTGATTTGCTTCCTAATATGTCTCAGGGTCAGGAAGCAGAGTTTTACAGGATTCTTTTCAGGTTTGGTGTAATATTTTCCTTGCTTATGATTTTTTTTCTTTTTTTTTTGAGACGGAGTCTCACTGTCTTCCAGGGTGGAGTGCAGTGGCGCGATCTCGGCTCACTGAAAGCTCCGCCTCTGGGGTTCACGCCATTCTCCTGCCTCAGCCTCCCAAGTAGCTGGGACTACAGGCGCCCGCCAACATGCCCGGCTAATTTTTTGTATTTTTGGTAGAGACGGGGTTTCACCGTGTTAGCCAGGATGGTCTCGATCTCCTGACCTCCTGATCCACCCGCCTTGGCCTCCCAAAATGCTGGGATTACAGGTGTGAGCCACCGCCATGATTTTTAAAAGAGACTCGGGGCAAGCTCATGCGCTCATTTGCATGGGACTTATAGCCTCTATCTCAGATCACCCACAGAAGTGAAAGTTCCCTAGTGAATAATATGCCCATGTGTGCCAAAGTTCTTTTTGTTACTAAGACGTTGAATATGGAGTATATAATTCATACTTGTTATCTGAGGAAAATACTTAAGGAATAACCACATAAACAAAATAAACCAACAAAATGAATCAGAACAGAATCCTAAAGATAGAATAAGATGAAGAAGAAAGAAATTGGTGGTGAATAATAATGTACACTGTAATATAAATAGATCTATATACATTAATATTGATAGGTTACTTGGAAAATATTAAGAAGATAAAAAGTAAAAACTCTTCGAACAGAAGCAATGGGGAAATAGGACTTTCAGAATGGCTCAGTGAGGAGCTTAGCAAATTCTCTCCATGTAATGCAATGATAAAACTAGACAAAACTGTCAAAAACATCAATTTCTGGAAATTGACTAAGGGAATATAACAAATTGGAAGCATTCATTTGAGAAAAACTACTGAAACATGGTAATAACAGTAGGAATCTGTGACATTTTAACATGAGCTTCTCTCATCCTCCTTTTCTTGACCTCCTAGCTCTATCAAAGCATTATTCAGGATAAATCCAGACTTTTTAATTAAATCCCAAGTGTTAAACAAGAATGTGTATGGGTCAGTGATTTGAACTTGATTTGGGCTGTAAAATTCTCAACAAATCTCTTCTACTTGTACATCATAACATGCTTAAAAAATGGGAGGTAAAAAACTAATATTCAAAATTAAACACCTATTTTGGTGGTACCAGAGAACTAACAATAACTATCAAAACTCCTACTGTCTAAAGATAATTTTGGTATGGTATTTATTTATAGATGTATACATTATTGAAAACTAAAGTATCCCTAAAAGAAAAACCATCATATGGAAGTCTTAATCAATTAGCCAGCAATAATTGAATGTTTACTATTTCTCAGCATTAGTTAGGTATGATAAAGTCTCCAGAAATCTTTGTTACTGGTCCCTAACTTGTAACTGGGTAATTCTTTTACTATATTTACCTGGGCTTACTTGAACAGCTGCACCCATCTAAAAAATTGGCTGGGAGCTAACTTCAGCTGAGAAAACTGAGATGGCTTTGTGTCTTTCCAAATGTGGTCTTTCATCCTCCAGGTGGTTAGACCAGGCTTCCTCACATAAGGCAGCAATGTTTCAAGAGAGGAAGCCCCAATATGCAAATGCTTGATGTTCCATTGGCAAAAGCAAATTCCACGAGGCAGGAGATATCGCAAGCATGTAGTTACAGGAAGGTGTGATTCACTGTATTCCATTTTGGCAGCAATCTTCCACAGTCCAGCTTCTGGCTCTAGTGATTCATGTCTCTTTCATACACAAAACACACTCATCACCTCTGAAACACTGATGGCTTCATCCAGTCGTAGCATCAATTAGGGAGTTTATGATCTAATAAAAAGAATCAGGTTTGGATATGGCTGAGGTATTTTGGGTGGAGCTCTTTTGATATAAATCCTCATTATTTACAAAAACAAGCTATTTGCCCCTCACATACTTAACACACAACAATGAATCAGGGAGCAATGACAGCAATAGACACTCCCATTCAAAAAAAGAAAGGAAGAGAAGACAATGGCAATCATTGGATCATAGCAACTCTAAATGCCAGACAGGCACAAGCCCCACTGATAGCAGGGAATGTTCCTTGATCAGGGCCTAGTTCTGTTCCTGGGAGCTGGGAGTCATTCTCTAAAGCATTGTCTTCTGTGATTATTGGCTTTTACCTCTGAGAATTCAGTTCTGGCCTATGAGATGTCTTTTTTTTTTTTCCAAATAAGAAATGACCTACATTTGCAGCTGAGTAGCTTTATCAGTCTACTAACCCTCAGTAAATTAGGGGAGACAATGGCTCCTTTTCCTTTCAAACTGTCTCTATCTTTTTCAGTACAAACTGATAAATTCTCTTAAAAACTTTGTGATATTTCTGTAAGTCAGATAGAGTTCACTTGATGCCCCCCAAAGCCACATTTACAATTATTTTTAAGGCAGGCCTCTTTCTTTCCCTTAGACTCCATGTATGGCTGCTGTGGGACAAAGCTTATAAGATTCTAAAGAGCCGTTTGTTCTAGATGAAAGGGTCTACTAGGCACCTCCTTCAATTGTCTTGAGGTCTTAACAAAGGGTATTACAGCTGTAACACTGATTTGATAATTATTTTAAAGGCATTTCTTTTTATGAGAATTCTCTGCTGTCTGGAGATTATGTGAAATGTTTTGATTTTTCAACCAAGCAACTCTTAGCTTCTTTACATATTCTTTACATTCCCCTTATAAAGTAAAATCTCCCTTTTAGTGCCTCTTTCTCTTTATTCTATCATATACAGCCAAGGAAGAAAATTGACATTTTTAACTCTGCCTAGAATTCTCCTTAGCTAGATCCACAGATTCATTACTGAACCATTAGGCTTATTCTCTATCTCCAAAGACTGTAGAGAACAGTTTGTCATTGCTTCAATACTACAAAACATCTTTCTAGCCTCTAATAGCAGGTTCCTCTCAACTCCTCTCAACTCACTGCCCAGTCTCAAAACCAATACCACAAATTTTAGGAGAGTGTTTTAGCAACCATCCAATTCTGGTACCATTTTACAAATCAATTGTCTATTGCTGACCTAAAGCAACAACAACAAAAAATCACATTATTTCTTGCAATTCCTTGAGTTAGGTGGGTGGCTCCGCAATGTTATCCTGGGCTGTCTCATGCAGATTCATTCAGCTAGATGGTCTGTTGGGAGCTCAGCTTGACTGAGACATTTGTGATGGCTGCTTTCCTTTCCATGTGGTCTTTGATCTTCTGGAAGTCTAGAATGGTGACAGCAATACTCCTTGAGGACAAGCCCCACTGTGTACATGTTTTTCTCATTCTCCTAAGCAAGTCACATAACCAAGAACATGTGGGAGGGCAACACCAACGATGTGAATGCTGAGAAATGTGATTCATTGGAGCCAATTAACCTAACAATGTGCCACTGAATATGTCATCTTTTAACAAATTAATATCAAAATTCTGTGAAATAGAAATCTTATAATAGGTGATACAAAATTAAATTTAAATTTTCTCAAAAACTAGGTACTGTTTCTTGGTATTACTTACTTCTACAAGGAAATCTTTTTTTGCTGTCAAATTCAATATATTTCCTGTCATAAAGTCTGACAAATCTGGTTTAAGATACTAATCCTTGTTTAACATATGCTGTTTCCAATAGAATACCTTAAAATGGCAAACACATTTCAGTTTACTTTTTAGAATGTTTCTTTCTGTTTCCAAATTTCCTCCTCTAATATTGGTACTTACAAGCTCTGTTAAGAGTATCTAACATACTACTCAGGTGATCGGTGCACTTCGACTTTGTGCCCTGGATTATGTAAGAAGGAAGACAGTTCTTGTAAAAATTCTCTTAATATATTTAATCCTCCTTTTCCTCTTCTGTAGAATGAGGATGATAAGAGTATCTATCTATCTCTTGGGGTTACTGTTAAAGTTAGTGCTTGCAAATGTTTAGCATAGTGCATAGTTCAGAGTAGATGCTTATTAAATGGAAATTATATTAAGAGTTAGCAGAAAGAGGCCTCGTGTTTGGCCTAGTCCAGAGAGCAGCAGGCCTCCAGCCGAGGAGCCGTGGCCACAGTCCAAGGCCAGGACCTGTGTTGGGGACTTCAAGGGTATGCGGTGGTGGAGGTGACAATGGTAAAGGCGGGAGCCCCACAGGGTCCTCAGATTGGGGAACTGCCTCTTGCATCACAAAGCCAGTAGGGACAGAATAGCTTATGGTGCTGGTCCCCACCCACCACTTCAGAGACTTTGAGAGGAAACCAGAGTACCCATAGCTGGAGATGCCTGTCCGACCTCCCTACCCTGGTCCTATGAGAACCATGTGGCTTATCCACGATGGCTGTGGCATCGCCTGTGCCATCATCACCTGGTTTCTGGTCCTCTATGCGGAGTTTGTGGTCCTCTTTTTCATGCTGATTCCATCCGGAGACTATGCTTACAGCACCATCAATGGAATTGTGTTCAACCTGCTGACTTTCTTGGCCCTGGCCTCCCACTGCCAGGCCATGCTGACAGACACCGGAGCAGTGCCCAAATGAAATGCCACAAATAATTCATCCAGAGTTTACAGATGAAGCCCAGGCATGTGGTATACTCGTGTCCCAGTGCTGCAGCCTCAAGCCTGACCCAGCCTGCCGCTGCAGTGTTTGTAAGGGGTGCATTCGTAGGGTGGACCCCCACTGTCCCTGGGTCAACATCTGCATCGAAGAGAACAACCAGAAGTGCTTTGTCCTGCCTATCATGTGCACAGCTCTCATTTCCTTGCCTGCCCTCATCATGGTGGATTACACTTCCTGGATTGTTGTGAAGAAGATTACTCAAATCTCCCGAAGCCTATGAACTGAACAGGGAAGGAATGGCAGATGCCTGTATCTCTCCTCATGAAAAAATGCAGCCCTTTTAAGTCAGTTTGACAGAGTGTAGCTCCTTCTTTCCACCCACCACGGTGGTCTTCCTCATCCCACTGTGCTTTGAGGGGCTGCTCTTCATTTTCACATCAGTGATGTTTGGGACCCAGGTGCACTCCATCTGCATGGAGGAAATGGCTGTAGGACAATTGAAAAAGGAAGAGAGAAGATGGGCTAAGAAACCAAAATGGATGAACATGACATTTACCATGAACAGACATCTGTCTGGCATGACTGTTTTTGGCTACCCCTTCTCTCTAGGCAGATGGAGACTTTTTGCCATGCCAGATCAAGGGAAGGCAGGCCCATACCAGTGTGAAGTCTGAAGGAGTCAGATCAGCATGGCCACTTACACGCAAGCCACACCACAGCACTGCTGTCCCATCTGTTTCCATGAATGTTTAAATCGAAAAAGCAAAAAAACAACTACTCTAAAAGCTTTTTTTTTTAATGTCTCAAGTAAAATGGCACATCATTGCAGAGGAAAAAAAATAAGTCCCCATATTTTATTTTTTAAATATCATCCTGTTGAAGTTTTGGGTGACAAAAGCTGCTCTTTCTTTTCCTTTTAAAATCACTTTTCCGGCCTCTGGTTTCCTCTCTGTGGCCTGTCTGGCATGACCAATGTAGAAGGTGCTGTCTCCGGTCTGTGCCCACTTCTACCAACTGAATGAAGCTTAATGCTGCATGTGGATGGAACAGTCTAGACACCTGGCAGGGGATGCATGGAAATCCAGGAGGGTCCTGACCTCCCACTGCCCAGGAGGCAGTGGCTGGCAGGCACCCCAGTGAGACTTAAAACTTCACCGAAGATGGATGCTTACCTTTTGAGGCCTGAAAAGGTCAGGGTCAGGGCTGGAGCTTTCAGAAGGGACCCTTGGCACAACCGCCTCATCCCAAAGGTGGACATGGTTTGCCTCCTAATTAGGAAATCAATTGCCTGCCCTGTACTTTATGGGCTTGGGGTATGAAGAATAATTTTTTTTGGAGGTGGGGGGGAGATGAAACAGGTTTTATTTGTATTCTGAATCAGCTTTTATATTCCCTCTGATTATTTGGAAGAGTGTGAAGGAAAGACATTTTTCCAATTCAAAATGCCTTATACAGTCAAGAGAGGAAAAAAAATTACATAATTTCAGGCAAGCTGTGTTCCTTTGTTACGTTTACTTCCTCTGTTACCACTCTATCTCCCTCTTTTCCCCAGCATGATGTCAGTTAAGCAGTGTTAATTCTGAGTGCAACAGGTACCAGTGCCCAACACATACAGCCCTACCAGTAACCTCTTTTCCTCATTTGATAAATCTCTAAAGTGGATTCACTTTCTGGTATTTAACACCCATAAATGTGTATGTGCTGGTGTGTTATCTGTATTTTAACCTTTGAGGCTGTTGTCCTGGTATGGAGCTGACCATGATGCTGGGGTGACATCATAGCTCTCAACCTTTCTAAGTTGACAGATGGCCATCCCTTTGGCTGGAATTGGCAGATACATCTAAGCCTATGGCACTGGACAGAATAGGTTTTCCATTTGGAAGGCACTTTCTGTGTGTCTCCTTTGAGGGAGGTGGTGATGGTTGGGAGGGGTGAGGAGGTAGGGAGTGCCCTCCAAGTACAAAAAGAACAAATCTGATTACTGACCAACTGGGAATTCTTACACATTGATTTGTTTTTTACGTGATTGCCACAACTCCCCGTTTTTACCTTTTGCTGGGGGGTGGGTGGTGGATAAGGTTTATTCAATCCTGTCCTGAGTGGGGAGAAAGTTAATCTAGCCATGCGGTTTTTCAGAAAAGTAAGTGGAACAAGCTGCCTCTTTTCAGTTGTCAGTGCTTCCACATGTAAACAAAATGCAATAAAATTTTCCCAAAAATTAAAAGTTAGCATAAAGAGAATGTAATACTGACTGGTAAATACCAACTTTTAGTCTAGAGGAGAGTTGCAAGGGCTTTAGTTGGCTTCTTAGAAGCAGTAGCATTTGATTGAGGTCTTAAACGAACTCTGCAATATAAAGAACATGAAGAAGTCAAAGTCAAGATGTTGATTTTTGATTGAGTCAAGATATATGGTCCTAAATTGGATAGTTTCCTGACATTTGAAAATCTTTTACTATATATGAACTTTTGCTGTTGTGGCACTAACGGAAAATTCATGGATATAGTAGACATTTATCAATTTTCCTGGCCAGCATGAGTTCACATTTCTGCTGTTATTGACATCATGTATTGCTTAAAGTACTATTTCTCTCTTGATCTAGTCTTTATTAGCATTGTCAGTCAAGGCTGAGGATGTTTTCCAAGCTTGGTCAACCTGAATACCTGAGTCAATCTCTTTTTCTTCCCTCCTCTCTGCATGCATTCTCTCTCTCTCTCTTTCTCACTCTCGATTCATTTCTTCTCTTATTTCTTGTCTAAAATTTGATTTTGATTATAGTGAGAAAGAATAGATAATAGTTTGCTTGTTTTTGAACTTTAAATAAGTTTAGGAGCAGCAAGAAAATTATTTTCACAAAGTCATAAATGAATGGATTCCATTTAGGAAAGGACAGATTAAAGGCTTACATAGTACTGATAAATGTTCTGTTTATCTGAGCAGCTGTTATATGGTATTTGCTTCATAATAATTTCTTAAATTATATATTTATGACATGGCTATTTTGCATATATATTTCATGTCATCCTTTTAACATAGGATTGGAACTCCATTTGTTTTTTTCCCGATAACAGCATTTGGAAGAAACTATTCATCACTTTCTGTAATGTAGATCCTGGAGGAGTTCTCCAGAACCTTTTTGGTTTCTCTTCTAAGATCTGTCCTTCTGATTTCCTTAGGTTTGATCATCACATCTATTCTAGTTAATTTATTTTATGTGGTCTAATTTACTCTAAGTGAATTTCTGTTACTTGCAATCTAAAAACTCTAAGTGATTGAATGGATGAGAAAAACTGAATAAAATAATTTGTCTTAACAAACAGCAAATATTTTCCATTCCCAGAAGGGTTTTAAGTTGTGCAAGTCCCCATGAAATTCAGAAGGAGTCCGCTGAAAATTTTAATTTCTAAAACATTTTCTCTAACTTCCCTCACTACAGTGTAGAACTAATTACTTCCTCATCTACGTCTTCGAGAGCTTGAATTCTTTTAGGACTGTGGGCTGCATGAAGATATAGAGGAGAGATTATAATTTTTACAATCACAGATAGGAATGTACTTACATTATATTATTTAATTACCTGTATTTTCTTCTTCCTAGATCGATGCGTCTTTGAGGGCAAAAAGCCTCAACTCATACTTATTTTTGAATATGTAAAAGGTATTTCAGTGTTTGGCATTACTAGCAGATCAATAAGTATATTTTAAATTGATTTGTTGAATTGATATCTTTCCCAGAGTTTCTTGTGAGAGATCAATAGATACTCAGGATGTTTGCTTTGTAAATATTTGTAGAAACAATTCAGTAATAGGTTTTGTAGCCACCCAAGAAATAGTTTATAGCTGACTGATATATTTTTAAATAGGGCAATTAAAATTAGGGGGGTTTGCGTGGCTGAGGTTTCATAATTTATGCCCATATTATCTTTTAGCACTTTCGTTTTTACTTCTGACATAGAATAAAAATTCAACAAGGATAGCTGTGATAAACTCCTTTACATAAGTTTGGAGCCAGTAGGTCAATATTAAGCACCTTAATATTGCATGGCAATAGGTTGCATGGCAAAGTACTGAGATCTGAAACTCTCAAACATTCTATCCTTGGCCAAATAGAGTTTTTTATTACCTATGTCAATGTTCTTATTAATATCCTAATTGCAACTAACCTATAACCCTAGGGTTTCTAAGGAAATCTGTGTCTATGAAATTACTTTGGGCTTGGCTTTGTGAGGGTTGTTAGCAGATGACAAAGTAAGCTTTTCTTTCCTCTTATTGTGTGTATCTACTTTGGTTGCCTAGTGCTCTTTAATGAGTTTGAAAGCAAAATAAAATATTTTTGAGGATCCCTTATGTTTTTCAGGTAGAATTCAATGTCTAATCATGCTTGTCCTAATTTAATTAACACAGTTAGAACATTAAGTTAATGAGGTTAAACCCATGAGTTCAATTGCCAGTTACAATGGACTAGGCAGGAAATCTGGAAAAAAATCAATACTTTAATAGCAAAACACCAGACTTAAAGAAAAATAACACTTAAGTTGGAATTTTATTTCTTCCATGAATTTTCATGTAATCTTGGGCATGTTAATTAACCTTTTGAGGTTAGAGAGTAAAAATCCATTAGTATTGTCCCAGCATGGTGGCTCATGTCTGTAATCCCAGCACTTTCGGAGGCCCAGGTGGGAGGGTCACTGGACCCCAGGAGTTAAAGTCCAGTCTGGACAACATAGCAAGACCCTGTCTTTTAAAAATCCTTTTTAAGTTAGGTGGGCATGGTGGCTTGTGCCTGTAGTCCCAGCTACTTGGGAGGCTGAGGTGGAAGGACTGCTTGAACACAGGCGGATCGAGCCTGCAGTGAACTGTGATCACGCCACTGCACTCCAGCCTGGGTGACAGAGCAAGAACCTGTCTCCAATAAATATTAAATTAAATTAAATTAAAAATAGGGTTACTGCATCTGAATTCTTAGATATGTTGAGAAAATCAACTAATAATATGTATAAAATTAATTTTTAAACTATAAAAAATAATAAACTCATTTAGTGTAAGTTTTATTATCATTATTGGGACATAGATGGAATATTTGGATAGATTATCATAAAATGTGTCACTATTATTATAAAAATCTCTGCATAGTATAGTCTATCTGCCCATTTTATTCATGAATGATAAAACATTCCTAATTTAGTATAAAATTTACTGAGAACTTCCAGAATTTTGAATAAGTAATACTTCTAAATATAGTATCCTATGTATATTATTTATGATCAAGTAGAATACGGCAATCAAACAAGCTCAGAGCCTATTGTTGAATCTAGGCTTAGAGAAATGAATAACAAGTGGGTTTTGTGGCTTATAACTTTGGGCTTTGAGGAAAATATGTATACCAGCTTTTTAATATCTTGATGTTGATCCACCAACATATTTTATTATTTTTTGGAGGAATTTTAATGCAACAGTAAAGTACAAATAATATGACAAGTACATATATTCTAATTATGTATACACAGCTGCTATTATCAATTTTTGAAATTATTACAAGTCAAACACTACCTAGACCAAGAAATAGAACTGCTTGGGACCCCAGAAGCCCCTTTATAATTTCCATTCCATTCTAGATAGTTACAGGATAACTATGTAACTAGATAGTTACATAAAAGCGATGTAGTTTTTATGAGGAGGTATAGAAAGATTCCAAAACTTGCCATAATTGCTGCTGCCATCTTTCCAGATAGCTATTGTCATCTTCTCCAGTAGTCTTTTTTTTCTTTCCTTTCAAAATGAAGCATTGTAGATGTAGCCAATGTCTCATTTTTAATTTACATTTTTTGTTTCATTTCCCTTTCCCTTCTTCCCAGGAAAAACCATCATTTTCAATATTTTTAGTTGTAAAAGTACAGTTAGATAATGTAAAGTGTTGCTATACTTGAGCATTTTAAATTGTATATAATTGGTATATGATACATATGGTTCTGTATTTTGCTTTATTAACTTAAAAATTAGCTTTTGAGATCTAAATTCTCTTTTACAATGTTTAGTATTCCTTCAAATGAAGACATAAGATTTTCTTTGTCTATTCCCCTACTGCACCATGACAAACAATGCTGTGATTAATATTCTCATACTTGTCCTCTTGTGCACATACATAAGAATTTAATGTAAGTACTTAAAAATGGAACTGACGGGTTTGCTTTATGCAATGGTCAATTAATAGTTGCTCCAGCATGACTGTACCAATTTATACTCTTATCAGCAGTTCAAAAGTGTCCATTACTTTATATCCTCACCAAGTGATATTATTCAGCTTTCAAATTTTTGCCAAACTAGGGGATAAAACTTACAGTATTAATTTTAAAATTTTCATTCCTCTGATTGCTCTTGAGACCAAAATTCTCTTTAAAAAGTCTTCTAGAATATCTATGTTTAAAGCAAGAGACAAAAGGATTTTGCTCATGGGACCAAAATTCGCTTTAAAAAATCCTCTAGGCCAGGCGTGGTGGCTCACACCTGTAGTCCCAGCACTTTGGGAGGCCGAGATGGGCGGATCACGAGGTCAGGAGATTGAGACCAGCCTGGCCAACATGGTGAAACTCTGTCTCATTAAAACTACAAAAATTAGCAGGACGTGGTGGCACATGCCTGTAATGCCAACTACTCAGGTGGCTGAGGCAGGAGAATCGCTTGAACCAGGGAGTCGGAGGTTGTGGTGAGCCAAGATGGCGCCACTGCACTCCAGCCTCGCCACAGACTGAGTTTCCGTCTCAAAAAACAAACAAACAAAAAAAAACCCACTATGCATATGTGTTTTGTGTACATATGCATAGTGTTTCTTAATTTGGTCACTCAGCATTCTGTTATTATCTATTCAAATTGCAATGGTATACGGTTCTGTTGCTTCTAAATTATGTACACTATATTCCAGGGAATGATTCCACCACATTTGCTTATAAATTAGCAGAGACGGAAACCAGGATTTTTTTTCCCAATTCCCAGGTAGGTCAATTCTACAGTGATAATCCAATATTCCAATATTTGCACCATCCGGATCTGCTTCTATTGTTGAATTTTTCTCTTGATTAGGGGTGCCATTGTCTTGTCACTTTGCATTTCTAGTAAATTTTTATTGCATACTTAACATGGTATGTAAAAGAACATCAGAGACTTTGGATGGTGTTTCTTCCTTCCAGGGGAAAGAGGGCTTATCTAGTTACTCTGTTTTTTTTGTTTGTTTGTTTTTGTTTTGCTTTGCTTTGTTTTTGTTTTTGTTTTTTTGAGACAGAGTCTCTCTCTGTCACCCAGGCTGCAGTGCAGTGGCGCGATCTTGGGTTACTGCAAACTGTGCCTCCCGGGTTCAAGCAATTCTCCTGTCTCAGCCTCCCGAGTAGCTGGGACTACAGTCACACGCCCCCACGCCTGGCTGATTTTTGTATTTTTAGTAGAGACAGGGTTTTACCATGTTGGTCAGGCTTGTCTCAAACTCCTGACCTTAGATGGTCCACTGCCTCAGTCTCCCAAAGTGCTGGGATTACAGGCGTGAGCCACTGCACCTGGCCTAGTTACTCTGTTTTTATGAGGAGATATCGAAATACTTAAAAATTTGCCGTCGTTGCTGCTTCCATCTTTCCAGATAGCTATTATCATCTTGTCATCTTCTCTATTTGCCTTTTTTCTTTCTGTTCATCTTTCTTTCTTTTCTGTTTATTCTATCTGTTAGCCAGACAAGATAAGGGACTAGTCACTTTAATTCAAAAAGTGCTTTAGATGAGTCAGAGCTGGGTTGTAGTTTAGAGAAACTCAGCGCATCTCTGGTTTGTAGAAAGCACCAAGAGACTGGTAAGACTGCCTCTACGGTTCTGAAAGACTGCAAGATTCAATTATTTTATTTACAGGTTTTGAAATCAGCCTGTTAGTCTCCTACTCCATATAGCATCAGTATCTGCAAATATCTACAGGATACTAACTCAGTGTTGAAAATAGGGCCTCCCTCTTTAATAGGTTTTGTCTCCTAATTACCATGAAACTGTGAAAGATCTAACGATCTCTTTTAGAAGTTTCTGGTCCACGTTCCTAGTCTCCTTTAACATCCCAAACCCCTGCAAATACCCTGTGGGGGAAACAGACATATATCTGGGGTTCTTCTAGATTCTAATATATCATCCTAAGCCAAATAATATCAAAAGCTTTGGTGATTTTTTTTTCCCTAATAAAGCTGCTCTGTCCTCAGTCTACATCCAGATTCACAAATGCCTTAGGGAAGAAAATGAGCTAATCTGAGAAAGGCATTTTCTTTGTTGCTTCTGCAGCAATCCGGTTTTTTCCAAATATTTTTTAAAATTTATTTTTATTATTTCTGGTTATTGCAGCAGTGGTATTTACTTCTCATGGCCTTTCTTATAAGAAAACAGAAATCCCTTGCCATTTTTCCCAATGCAAATACACTCTCCCGTGTGTCATCAGCCTGTTTATTGGGTAGAAATTCTTAATTAGATTCATCAAAATTTTATCTTTTGGTTTATTGTAGTTTTGTTTAAGAAAACCATTTATTCTACACATTTCAGGTTTTTTTTTTTTTAATTTTACATTAAGGTTTTTAACCAGAGTTCACCATTGTAAATGATATTATGAGTTCAGTTTTACTTTTCTTGATATAGTATTCCAGTTTGCCCAACATAATTATAAAATAGTCTATATTCACTCTATTGATTTGTAGGAATACTTTTATCCAGTGCTAAATACCCATACATACATAGATCTATTCAAGGCTTTATATTTGGTTCCATTGATTTATTGATCTATACTTTTATTTCTACTATATGGTTTTAATGCTACTGTTTCAGTTTGTGTCACATCTAGTCTCTTTTTTCCTACTTTTTTTCAGAATTTATCCTTGGATATTCATGAAGGTTTATACTTTCATAGAAATTTTAGAATAAACCTATTAAATTATTTTACAAGACAATTAGAATTATGACTGGAGTAGTTGTATTAATTAATTTGGGGAAAATTCAATTTTTATAATAGTTATTTTTATCCAACACCACAGATTCTCTCCATTGACCTTCCTTTATACCCTTTAGAAAGATTTTAGTATTTTTTACATTGAGATTATCGCTACTTTTAGTGATTGTTACAATTACAATTCTTAGATTCTGTTACTACTAATAAAATCCTAGTTGTATTTTTTATTATATTTTGTAACTGGTTATTTTTGATGTAGAGGAATTCAATTCAGATTTTTTTTTTTTTTTTTTTTTTTTTGAGACGGAGTCTCGCTCTGTCGCCCAGGCTGGAGTGCAGTGGCACGATCTCTGCTCACTGCAAGCTCCACCTCCCGTGTTCACGCCATTCTCCCGCCTCAGCCTCCCGAGTAGCTGGGACCACAGGCACCCGCCACCACGCCCGGCTAATTTTTTTGTATTTTTAGTAGAGACGGTTTTTCACTGTGTTAGTCAGGATGGTCTCCATTTCCCGACCTCGTGATCCACCCACCTCGGCCTCCCAAAGTGCTGGGATTACAAACGAGAGCCACCCCGCCCGGCCTTCAATTCATTTTTTAATATTTATTTTGATTTCAACAAACATGCAAAAATTTCTTATTTTTACTAATGGTGTTTCTATTTATTCTGCTGATTTTTCTATGTATATGAAGTCCTTATACATCTTATTTATTTTAATATACATTTCAAACTCTGATAAATAATACAGGTGATAGTGGATACCCTTGCTAATTTTTTATCATACAGGGCTTTCATATACATCTTCTTAATTAAGTATACATTTTACTGTGCTTCTTGGAATTATAGTATTTTTCGAATTGAGGAGGTTCTCTTTTATTCCTAGTTTGCTGATTTTTGTCCTAAATAAGTGTTGAACTTCGACAGTTGCTTTTTTGTGTGTCTATTGAGATAATGATATAATTTTTATCTTTTGAGTCTATTAATATGCTGAATACTATTAATAAATCTTCTGATGTTGGTTCACAAACTGAGCATGATTTATTGTTTCTAAATGCATTTATTTTAGAATTCTTCCATCTGTATTTAGTGAAATAGTCCTAAAATTGCTTTTGTGTGTTGTCTTTATCTGGTTTTGGATAATTGCACTAGCTTCATTACATCAGCTTGGAATTGTTTATCTTTCACTATATTCTGAAACAACTTTTATTAGATAGGAATTGGCTATCCATTGAATGATTCATAACATCAATAACAACAACAGCAAATATTTATTTGCATCTTTCTTCTACTGGGTTTATATATATAATATATATTTATATATTATATAAAATATATTTATAAATATATAAATATAAAAATATATATTTATAAATATATTAAATTATATATTTATAAATATATAATATATAAATATTATATAAAATATATTTATAAATATATAAATATTATATAAAATATATTTATAAATATATAAATATTATATAAAATATATTTATAAATATATAAATATTATATAAAATATATTTATAAATATATAAATATTATATAAAATATATTTATAAATATATAAATATTATATAAAATATAATATATTTATAAATATATAAATATTATATAAAATATAATATATTTATAAATATATAAATATTATATAAAATATAATATATTTATAAATATATAAATATATAAAATATAATATATTTATAAATATATAAATATTATATAAAATATAATATATTTATAAATATATAAAATTATATATTTATAAATATATAAATATATAATAAATAAATAAATATATTTATATATAAAATATTTATTTGCATTTTTCTTCTACTGGGTTTATATATATATGGTGTATATATATATAAATTTGTTTCTTTCAACAATATACTATGGTAGGTACTATTATTATTCCCATTTTACCATTTAACAGATAAGAAAATTAAAGTACAAAAGGTTAAATAATTTACCTTTTGAGATTTTTAACCTGGGGTGTATGAACAAAGGTTTCCATGGATAGAATTAGGGTATCCAAAAATTTGAATCAGTTAAGGGCACATGTTTATTTCCACTAACTTGAAACTGAATTGTAGCAATTTCCCTAATTATAAATATAGTCAACAAACCACAGTAATATTAACAGTATCTGTTACTTCTTTAACAATAAAATTTTGAGATATAGTTCAAAATAACATTGGTGCTCATCACCTTTTCAAAATTATGATAGATATCAGAGTTACTTATAGATCTTATTTACCATATTAATAAGAAGCAAGATATGCATTATTTTTATTATATACTTAATATTTAATAACTATATTTCACTATAATTATTATCACACTACTGCATAAACTGAGGACTTCTTACATTTATTTGATGCGTATATGAGATGCAGTTCATATGTTTCACCATAAAACAGGTTGAAATTACCAACATCAGATCAAGTTAATTATTAGCTATTTGAATGATAGCATGGGTATAGAACTCACTGGTAAATGATCAAAAACTAGGCTTTTGAATATTTTCATATGTTAAAAATTTCTGATATATTTAAATTCTATTTCTTCTTGAGCCAATTTTGGCATGATATCTTGCTAAAATTTATCAATGTAATCCAAATTTCCTAATTTGCATTTAAATAACTATTTATAATTTTATTTCAATACACTTTTACATCTCTGCTGTATCTGTGGTTATTTATTCATCTTTTGGTCTTTTAAAATGTTTTACTTTGTTACCATTTAAATTTTTGATGATAAAAATAAATAGATTTAAGTTGTGTGTCTTAATGTTTGATATGCATTGTGAAATAATTACCACATTCCAAGTAACTGACATATTTATCACCTCTACAGTCACCATTTTTATACCCTTGGCAAATATCACTCCATTCCTCACTTCTCCGAGCCCCTAGCAACCACCATTTTACTCTCTGCTTCTATGAGTTTATCCATTCTTCTGTCTGATATTACTTATTTGATTATTTCTCTTTTTACTTGTCATCTTGTCAGAGATCTAACACATTAATCTTTTCAAAGATCTTTAGGCTTTGTTAATTTTCTATGATTCTTTTCTACTTTATGTCTTTTTGTTTATTTATTTCAATCTCCTTTAGTCTAATGATTATCATCATTTTTATTTTCAACCATTTGTTGTCAGATAAGTTACAGTAGTTTTAACCCCCTGTAATATTAGATTAAGTAATGTGCTATGCACATTGCAATTCTAATTACACAATTAATTTCTCTGTAAATGCTGCCAAGGACAGGTCTCACTGCTGGGATTTGATTTTGATAGTCTTTTATAATAACAATGTTTGAATCTTGTCAGATATGAACACTTGAGTAAGCCTTTAAAATTTTTTTTAACTCAAGAATTGAAAGTCATGCAAATGAAGAACATGAAAACAATAATAAAAGTTAATAGATTTTTACCAAAATTTGTTAAGAAAAGGTTTCTGGCTACAAGTCTCCTTTTGACTGAACCATCTGGCCTTAATGTCTGACTTCAGAGAGTTACATCATTGACAGGAAGAAACAGGAAATGAATTTGTACAATATCTGTTTTCCTCCTTAGACAAATTTGTCTATTTGAATCCCATCTTTTACAGCTGTTTTCCTCTTTGTTTTCTAAACTTTAACCTTTCCTGGTTCTCATCATTTCTCTAACCTCAGCAACATTGTACGGTGACGTGAAGAACTCCCTGGACTTCTTGGTCTGTTTATTTGACCATGAGTACCTAACCCCAGATATCATGACAGATGCATATACAATATTAGATTCACCCTAAGGTCAGCATATGATCAGCATATATAAAGTATAGTATAGTATAGTACTATATAACTACACTACGTGATGAGAATGCATAATAGTAATGTACATGTTCACTTAAACTTTGCTCTGTTTTTCACTGTGCCAAAAACAATACAAAATTAAACAACAAACCTCTTAATAGTGTTGAAGAAACATTATTTTAGTGTAATTTTCATTACTATTTTAGTGCACTTCTTGTTCAGGCAAAGATATTGTCATATGCTTTGTAAATGTCCATGTTTTTTATACATATTATCAGGCATAGTGTTGCAGATAAAGCTTTGGGTTTGAGAGATGGAGTTAACTTCAGAGCTGCATGTGCATGGCTATCCTGCACTCCTCTTCTACTCATGCTTAAAGATGCCATTTGAGGATGCTATTTTGCTTATACCTGCCTGGCTCTCTCCTTGTTTCTTTAAACTGAAGAGTATATAGCTTTTTTTTTTTCTCTTTTTATAGTGCTTAGTGGTGTTTTCAAATATTTTCCCCAAATCATTTTGGGCATTACTCTTATTTGCCACCTAGATCATAAACTATGTGAAATCTTTACAATGCCCAGGAAAATGCTAGCCAAGAGTGGGTGCTTATACATCCTTGTGGAGTAGTGAAGATGAATTCAAATAAAATAATCTTGGCTGGTATGATAGGAATACGTCAGAATTTCTGTTAGTAAGATTCACCAAACTTTGGACTGCCTGGAGACTTTTCAGTCATTGTATCATTATGAGCTGAGAATGCACTAAGAAAGCAAGAGGTCAGAGCTGAACAGCTGGCTGGCTTATCCCTCAAGGTATAATTGCACTACTCTGTAGCTCCTACATACAGACCTAGAGGAGCCTCTGCATAAACCCACCCAGCATACATGTCTTTTAATTTGTTTTTATAAAAGTTCCTTTTGAGTTTTACTTAGGTAGGGTAGTATTTTGGGGCACTAGTGCCAAAAGTATTTTTTTGCAGTAAAATTTTAAAAGCTACTTTTTGGATACTCTGTAATTCATGAAATAGAAAACAACCCAATTCTCTGGATGGAAAACAAAATTTTGGCAGGTAAAATGTGCCAAAATTAAAGAGTCAAGGCTTTTCCTTCAATTAGCATTCACATTCACCCATAAACTGCTTCTTTTTAAAAGATTATATTTCAATGGACAGATACAAAATGTATACATTTATTGGTATATGTTGTTTTGAAATATGTATATATTGTGGAATGGCTAAAAAGGGCTAATTAACATATTTATTACTTCACATACTTATCATTTTTGTGTTAAAAACACTTAAAATCTACTCTTAGCAGTTTACAAGAATACAATACATTGTTATTAAACTACAGTCACTATGTTGCACAAAAGATCTAAACTGTGTTTAATAGTTTATTCATTCAGTAATCATTTATTTAGGGAGTTCTATTTCAGACACTAAGTTAGACATTGACATCTTGGGCTTTATAGATTAAGGGAATAGCAGAGTTCATAAGGTAGGTACAATAGCCTAGACATAAGAAAAGAGAAGCAAAAATGAATGCATTGGAAAGAATTGGCGATGTTCTTTTTTTCTCATCCCCACATTTCACAAAATAAAGATTGAGGAAAATTGAGAAATTTAATTGAATCCTTCCTAGAATGATCAATCTTGAGCACTTCCAAGAAGATAAGCCATTATAGGTAATATATTTTCTTTTTTTATTTTATATTGCTTGCACTTAAAGAGGACTAGAGAAAGAAGTCCAATGCGCAAGTTTGCAGCAGGGGCTCATTGATGCCACAGAAAGGGAAATGTGTCTTGATATTAATAGTGCTAGCTCCCAAATTAGTGCTTCCCTTGGGGAAGATATTGTGCTTAATCTAAAGAGTTCAGTAGCTAAATAACTCAATGAGATTTTATCTCATATTAGTGGAAACATCAAAAGCAACCTCCAGGCTGGTGGAGCCAATCTTGGATTAAACCACAGAACCCAGAGTTCTTAAGCCCTACTACCCTCTGTTATTGTAATGGACTTCTGTCCATTCTGAAAAGCACTGGCCTACAGAATCTCAGGTTGCAACTTCAGACACAAAGCCATAGATTTCAACATACATGTGGGTTTGGGGTAGAATGAAAACAGACTGAAAAATTCTGCTGTGGCTAGAGGTGAGGTTTCCTAACAAAGGAAGGGGAAGATATGAATATAGAAACTCCTAGAGAAAGGCTCATGGATAAGGAATCCTCAGACCTCAGGATAAAGAGGAGAGATTAAAATCCAGAAAATTTCTATAAAATAACTAACCAGCTCTTTAAAAGCTTTCAATTTGTGATTCTAAGAAGAGTAAAAATTAATAAGAACTTTTCCCTTTCTACTTATAACAGCCATGGGTATTATTTCATATATTTAACATACATATACACTTGTGGCAGTACACTTAATTGTCTTAGGAAAACTGAAGATACTAGTTGACACCTCTAAATGAAGTTCTGCTTTATCCCACCGCCTTCAGGAGAAGAAAATCATCATCCCATTTAGAGGACTTGGCATTTCTTTTGGTAAATGAGCAGTCAGCACTGACAGTGAGAGGAAAAGCACTGATGAAGCTGAGAAGTGATCTTCCTCAACCATTTACTTAATTCTTTCCTGGCAATGTGGCTGGCCTTTGAAATGGGGAGAGGGGGGCCGGGCGCGGTGGCTCACGCCTGTAATCCCAGCACTTTCGGAGGCCGAGGTGGGTGGATCACGAGGTCAGGAGATCGAGACCATCCTGGCTAAAACGGTGAAACCCCGTCTCTACTAAAGATACAAAAAATTAGCCGGGCGTGGTGGTGGGCGCCTGTAGTCCCAGCTGCTCGGGAGGCTGAGGCAGGAGAATGGCGTGAACCCGGGAGGCGGAGCTTGCAGTAAGCCGAGATCACGCCACTGCACTCCAGCCTGGGAGACAGAGCAAGACTCCATCTCAAAAAAAATAAAAATAAAAAAAAAGAAAAAAAAAAGAAATGGGGAGGGGGGGATATCTAGGCTATGAATGAGGAAAATTAATACATTATTATATCACATACTAGATAATTCAGAATCATTGATTAAGAAGGTTTAATTATATAAATTGAGACAGTGGGAGATCTTCAAATAGTATTACAAAGGGCATGATTTTAATAAAGGAAATAGTCTTAAGAACACAGATGGTTAAGTACTGGCATAGGCAATTTTTTTTCTCTGCATGTCATTTAAAAATATAAGTTTTTACCTGTGTGGAATGGTTTATGATTGAACATAAAAACTAGAAATGTGATGGATAAGAAAACTTTTAAGGTTTTATTCTGCTATGTAATCAGATTTTTGTTTTAGGAAGCACATTCTGGTGATAATAGAGTCAGGCGCAGTAATAGCCCAGTAGCAAAATTATATATGGTGCTATAAAGTTATATATGGTGCTATATAAGTTATATATGGCATGATATAAATTAAAATTGTATATCTAAGGACCTAGTAGTGGGAATGGAGAGAATGAACATTTAGCAGGAAAAAGTGATACAATTTAGGAACAAATGGTATATAGGATGGCTCTCAAATTTCTGGCTTCAAAAGCTATATGGGTGATAGTTCCATATAAAAAAACAAAATAAGGAGAGGCAGATTTTAAGAAGACAAATTCTATTTTGGACATACGAAGACTAAGGTGACTAATGACACATTCAAGAAGAAATGTCTAGTAGGTAATGAGTCCAATCGCCCCACATACCACAGAACTCCCTAGATCCACTCCTGCTTGCTTCCATGATATTAGGCAGCTCATCTGGTTGGGGAATATCATGAAGAAAGAAACTCCATGGGTTTTGATCTACTGGCTCTCCATTGTGAGGTTCATTGGTAGAGTGAATGACGGAGGGCAGATTAACCTGAACCTACTTTCATTAGTTCCTCACCCCACAGGCCTTCCAGCTGCCTGATATTTCTCTGCTGACTCCACTATTACTATTGATATCTATGAGTGACAGGATATGCTTGTTTCAAGAGACCTTGAGGTATAAGCAAGAACAGAATTTACATACGCTGTCCCATCCTCTCCTTTCGCAAGTTGGTAAGGCCACTTTGCCAATAGGCTTTTTCCATTATTCTCATCACCCCTGACACCCTGCACACCTATGTACAGACACACACATACAGGTACAGTAGTTCGGGAGTCTTTTGTTTTATTCTTTTTTCATTGGTTTCCCAGGGGCTTTTCATTCTTTTAATGTTAGTTCCTCAGATCCACGTTTCTGCCTTACTTGTGCAGTTTCTCCAGGGCTGATTTTAGAGGAGTGCTAGCTGACCATCTTGTCAGGATCCAAGGGCATTATGAATCAGTAATGTCCATCTCATTTGTAATTCTTCTGAAATAACAGTCACTATGATCTTTTCTGAAGTTCAGCCTTCTTATTATCCTTAACCTTATGCAGTATTTACCCCTCAATGTTAACTTCTCAGCTCTAATTATGTACTGTCTTGGCATTCTAGAAATATCATCTATATTATAATAATACAGATAATATTATATATAATATAGATAATATAATATTATAGATAATATAGATAATATAATATTATATATAATATAGATAATATTATATATAAATAATATTTCTAAAAATATTCGATGCCAGAATTCTTGTTATCATTTGTTGCAAATCAATGACATTTAAATCAAAAGTCCCATATGGACCCAAATATTTCCATTTAAATGAAGAGAAAGGTCAGTTTCTTTCCCTAGTGATCTTTAGTAAGTTGACATTTAAATTGACACCGTGGATACATATTTATTTAAAATATCTTTTAAGATATATGTTTTTATTAGGTCCATTTCAATTTTAGAAGCTTTTCACAGAGTACATTGGGACATGCAATGAAAAGAAGATTCCTAGAGGTCTGGTTTCTATCTATTTTTATCTGTAACGTTAATGAGAAAAACAATATAGAGGCTATATATTGCAAAATTATTTCTCCATTTTTTTCTGTAATATGACACAAAGACAATCTTTGCAATCCTCTCTTCCTTTTTATTCAAACAGCTACATTTTTGTCAATCTCAGCTCTATAAAATTGAACAGAATTGGGTTGCATTTCTGATGTATTCCTGACACTCCTGGGATGTTAGTATACCTCATTCTTATCTGTTAAACAAAAACCCTGGCTTTTGTTTTTTTTCCCCTAATTAGCCAGACCAACTGTATTTTTTTTATTGATACATAACAAGCCATCCCAAATACTTGTGACTTAATAATCATTTATCATATCTCACAAGTCTAAGTGTCAGCTGAGTGTCTTTGCTAATCTGGCCACGATTCATCTTGGTTGAGCTT
This sequence comes from Homo sapiens, assembly GCF_000001405.40. Taxonomy (NCBI): domain Eukaryota; kingdom Metazoa; phylum Chordata; class Mammalia; order Primates; family Hominidae; genus Homo; species Homo sapiens. The sequence continues at coordinate 97,756,313 of NC_000005.10, forward strand.
CTTCATGTATCCGTGGTAACCTGGATGTTCAACTGGAGCCACAGCAGTGACTGCACCATGTGCCATCATCATCTAACAAGCAACTCAGTCTTGTTTGCATGATGGAAGCAAGTTCTGAAGTAAAACCTTGGAAGCATGAATACTTCTTGGGGCTGGGACTCAGAATTTGTACATTTTCACTATTGGCCAAAGAAAATCACAAGGCCAGCCCAAATTCAAAAAGAAGTGAAATAGCATCCTCTTGATTGGAGAAGCCTCAAAATTATGTTAGAAAGGAGCATGACTACTAGGAGGGGAACACTGACACCTGTTTTGCAAACTACTCTAGCTTATTGCCCCTAACAATGGGCAAGAAGAAACTGAATGGTTGTGAAGCCTCACTTTCTAGGTTTTTCCTCTCTGTTCTTCCCTGACCCTTATCCCTATGGACCATTGAATTAAATCATAAGTGAATTAAACGATAATCAGAGAGGTTGCCTTCTAATATAAACATCAGTTATAGGAAACAACTGATGTTCTTGAAGGCAGAGACTGATCTCCTTTTTTTCTTCGTTCTAAGGCGTCTCTCTGGATTGTGTGTAGTGTGGTATACTGGTATAGAAATACAACTTTTTTAAAACAACAAATATCTATTTTGATTGAGTTGGTGTCCATTCTGGTTGGTCAGTATTTATGCCATAGGTAAGCTTGAACATTTTTAATATCATCCCTGACTGTTATATATTTATACTCAGTCATTGATTTAAAAATTAAACAACTCGCTAGGACATATGGAATTCAGCTCAGAACTGAAGCCTCAGATCTAAGGTAAAGATAGTAATCTCACTCCTTTTTGTTACAGCATATACATTGTAGTTATATTCCTAGCAAAAATAAGAATTAAATTCTATATGATGAATATAAAACTCTGGAAATTACATCCAGGAAACTCTGCATCTAGAATTATTTTACAGGAGCAAAACTGTTCGACTCATAATACTGTACATGCCAGACAATTTATATGCATGCATCTAGGCTTGGTATCAAATAAATGAAATCTTTTCCACCTATCCACTGAATTCAATTTAGCAGCAGCAAAATGCTCAGCTACCTATAGTCATCATTTTTAATGGCGTTTTTTGGGAAGTGCTTCATGGTAACTCTCTAAACGTCTCCTTTCCACAACTGATTGGGAAGCCATTATTTTATTTTCGTTAGGAAGTTGAGAGTTGCACACCTTCAGAGGTAATAATTATTGCTTAGTAGAGATATAGAAGACTTTTTCAGTCTCAGTTTTAGTATTGAAGAAACATAAACATGTTTAACTAACAAACAGAAGCTAAAAATGAAGCTACAGTTAATTTTATTCTAGTAAATATTACCTCTAGTTAACTTTCTTTTTCTTTGGAGGCTCTTCCATGTGGGGTTTAAGTAAATAAAAAAAAATGTTTTTTTTTTTTTTAGTATTACCTTAAAATGGTTCATGTGACTATGGTTAATGAATTATATTTGAATTTCAAGGACATACTTGATTTTTCTAGGCCACAGGGGAAGCTCTATTCAAAATATTCAGGTAGGAAGAGTTTTTATGTGGTATTCAGTCTCTTTTTTTCCAAAAATACCCCAACCTTTCCTTCACTTTTCCAACTTCCTCTGATAGTCTTGTAACCACATATTTGTTTTTTTTTTCCCATCTTCCTCCTGTACACACCTGCTCTTAGACAATCACTGGCATGAAGAAGATATGATTAACATGCATTGTAACTGTTTGAGTGGTACATATGTTTTAGTCTGGATTGTGGATCATTATCTAATATCAGAGGTCCTTAACTAATGGCATACTGCCATCATCTGGCCCCCAGATTTGTTTTTAAAACATTTTAAACTAATTGCTAGAATTTAGAAATAAGGAGATTTCACAAGAAACTTCAGATTTCTGTTAGCTCTTGAAAGAACTGAAGATCGAGCAATCCTGGCCTCCGCCTCCCAGATGGTAACAGTAAGGTGAGGCTAGGGTTATCAGGTAAAATACAGAATACTAAGTTAAATTAGAATTTCAGTAAACAAAAAATAATGTTTTAGGACAAGTGTGTTCTGTGTAATATTTGGGGCATACTTATTCTGAAAAACAACCCTTGTTTATCTGAATTTCTAATTTCACTGGGGATCCTGTACCTTTGTTTGTAAACTCTGATAAGCCTATCTGAGGATGAGCAGTGCTTTCTTACCTGAAATCAGGCACAAGCTCTCTAGTTTGCTGCAGACCCAATCAGCCCATTTAATTTCTTTATGTGGCCTGAGTGATCTATAAGCTTTTGAGGTTTTTACCACTGTCTTAAACTAAGGAACTGGGTCTCTAATGGTACTTCTGACTTCAATTCTATAAAACAAATAAGATATTTTAGCCAAAATCATCTTATGAAATTACCTGCCAGAGGTGAGCATCCTTGTGCCCTGGGCTCCTCCACATTTTTTCAAAGGCCTCGGAAGTGTCCACTAGACTGGAGGCTTGGCCTCTGATCTATTCTGACCCTTTTTCAGCCTTTTCAAAATTTATCCTGCCAGGATAAAACAACAGTGAGGATGTCTGGGTTTAGACCAGTGAGAGGCCTTTACATATTGAGATTTCCCTTGAAGCCAACAACTGTGCCTCTGTGACTAAATCCTAAGCCCAAAGGAAAATGTTAGTAGGGAAAAGTGCTTATGGTATTGATTACTAAAATTTCGAGCCAATCTTAACGTTAACAATAGGGGAAAAAGTGAAATAAATTGCAGTATATCTCTCCATTGGGCTAGTTTATCTGTATTAAGCCTGTTTTTGAAATGTTTAAAATAGTATTATGGAAGATGCCAGGAGTTAGTCTCAATGAGAATTTGTAAATAGAGTATTTGCCATAATATATAAAGAACCATATACATGGAATAAAGACTAACTGGGTAGAAGTAAATCAAAATGATAAATTATTGGTAGCCTGTGGTTACCAGAGTTATGGGACGTATTTTCCTCTTTGTCTACTGTTTCTATATTTTCTTTTTCCCCTATTTTTTTTCTAAAATGAGTAGGTATTACATTTATTTCTGTAACCATATTTTGAGTTTCCAGGAATTGTTTGATTTTTAAAATCTCTATACTAAGCTGTTAAAATGGAATCTTCTTGTCTCAATTTTTTTTTGAGGTCTGATGACAATAGAGATCAGAAGCCACAGTGAATTATATGATAGACAACCATGGAGGGTTTTCCAGAAGTAGGTGAATACATATTTATTGGATAATTCTTAAATTCTTTATACACATCTTGGGTGTATAGAGTTGAGTAAAGAGATTTGGAGACAGTTTGTTGAGAGGATGTTCTGGAGAAGTCTCCTCTGTCACCCTGGAAAAGAGGTCAGATATTTCTGCTCATTGCCTTAAGCCTGGTGTATTAGTTAGGGTTCTCTAGAGGGAGAAGACTAATAAGATAGATGTATATATGAAAATGAGTTTATTAAGGAATATTGACTCATACGATCACAAGGTGAAGTCTCACAATAGGCCGTCTGCAAGCTGAGGAGCAAGGAAGCCAGTCTGAGATCAAAACCTTAAAAGTAGGGAAGCCAACAGTGCAGCCTTCAGTTTATGGCCAAAGGCCTGAGAGCCCCTGGCAAGCCACCAGTGTAGGCCCAGGAGTCCAAAAGCTGAAGAACTTGAAGTCCCATGTTTGAGGGCAGGAAGCATCCAGCATGGCAGAAAGATGAAGGCAGGAAGACTCAGCCAGTCTAGTCCTTCCACGTTCTTCTGCCTGCTTTTTTTGTAGCCACACTGGCAGCTGATTAGATGGTGCCCACCCAGATTGAGGTTGGGTTTGCCTTTCCCAGTCCACTGACTAAAATGTTAATCTTTTTCAGCAACACCCTCACAGACACACCAGGAACAATACTTTGCATCCTTCAACCCAATCAAGTTGACACTCAATATTAACCATCACACCTGGTAAGAGAAACTTCAATAAGACCATTCAAAGAGTTGCACATATGTATCTTGCAGTTGGAGGGATACAGGGGTCTGACGTCCAGCTCCCATAAAGGAATATCTAAAAGGCAAGAAGTGGACTGGTTTCCTGCCTCAGTAGTGGGAGAAAGGACAGATGGCTGCATGAGTGACCTGCATTTTCAGAGTTTGGCAGGGTAAAAAGATCAGGAAAGATTTCTGTGGACAGATGAAGTCTACACCTGCCAGGGAAGAAAAAAGGTTGGAGTGATCTTAAATCTTACATAATAGGGCCTCATCGAGACATAAATAAGCCTCAGGACAGAGGTACTATGGCCAAGGATTTCTTGAGCCTGCAGAGAAGAAAAGAGTCAGAAGACTCAGAAAAGATTGAATAATAGGAAATGAGGGGGCAGGGGTCCCAAAGAATCCACAAGAGTGCCTTTGAGAAAAAAAAAAAAAAAAAAAAACAGGCTTTATATATTGGCCAGGTCTAGAGAACACTTGACACCAGCATATGACAGTTCCAGACAAGTCAGAACTTTCCAGTCTCTTCTAATTCTCCTCTCTTTCATTCTCCGACTCTTGAAAGGGTCAGAAACTGGAGTCAGCAAAATAGCATGAGAAAAGGAGATGGGATAGAAAGAAAGTAAATGCTGATCACTTTCCAAGAAGAAGGTGATAACTTTGATTCACATTGCAAGTGTTGAGTATTACATGGGACTGGCCATTTTAAGTACAGAAGTGAGGATATTTTGTAGCCTTAGAATGACCAAAGGTAGAAAACACTGAAGATGGGCTATTCATATTTCCTTAGTTCTCACTATTCCTTTGCATAATGACCAGGTATCTTTCATGTGGATGTACCTACAACTTCTTACCTAAGGGCCTTTTCTGATGTCCATATCCTTCTTCATCTGTGAGCCAGGCAGGCTTGTATTGTTGGGTAGTTGACATGTATTCACCTCTCTCCCATGAGCAGCCCTCAATCAATGACTGACTGATGGGAAATGGTGGAAAAGTATCACAGTTCACTGGCCTGTCAGATGAGTTAACCTCAAGGTACATGCTACACTGTTACTCAGTTTCTGCTAGGATTGAGCCTCACATGCCTTTTGCACTAGGATTGAGCCCTATGTACTCCACATAGCAGCATCCTTTCTTGGCTTTCTTCCCTTTCCTATGTCATTTTTCCACCCTTCTACGAGTGCTTTCTGGTTCACCTCCCAAAAAACTACTTTTATTAAATCTTTGTTTCAGAATCTGCTTGCTGAAAAATCCAAATTGTGATAAGGGGTACCAGAAGTAGTCTTAGCATACAGGTCCTTAGGATAAGATTTTGGAAACCACTGATAGCCAGGTTGTAACAAGTGCCCTATTCCCTGTGGTCTTTGGAGAGGTGATCATTTCTGTCTCACTGTCATATCAAAATTACTAAATCTTTTATTTTAAGGAACTAGGATTGTGTAAATGTAGGAGATGCAGTGATTCATGCAATATCTCCAGTACTTGAATCATGTGGAAACAATAATCATAAGGGTTGAAATATTGTTGGCTATGAATTGCCATTAAAATATTGAAGAAAGAAGATGAAAGTTTCAGTTCATCTGTCAACTCAAAGCATAACTTCCATGATGGTATCTAAAGAGACACTTATTTCATATAGCCAGAGAATGGATTCTGGTATAAATCAGATTCAAGTATTAATAGTAAGAGAAGCATATTAATAAAGGAGGTTGAATTCATAGTGCTGGCAAATTGCATACACTAATATCAGAATCTTGACAGGAAAGTAGTGGAGCCCTGAGTCCTGGGGAAAGAATATTTGGGTGGATGCCCTCGAGAATATTTGGACCCCGAAATTCTACTCAACCCCATGGGCCAAATGACTCCTTTCCCCTTCCCCCTTAGAAAAGAATGGTTGCCCAGCATCTGGATACCCCACAATGACTTCATTCGAGCCCAAGTTTTTACAAGATAATGCTTTTTTTTCATCTAAATCAGCCCTTGAATTTCCTTGTTGCCTCCAAACCAATAACTAGGGTTATAAGGAAAGTATTGGCTTAGCAGGAAAGTAGTGGCCTAAGTAGGGAAGTATTATTCCTGTTACAGAATGAAAGGGACTATTTACCAAAAAAGCTGCAGATCTAAATAACAAGAACTAGAAAATCATGTCTGAGAATAGATATTAAAATTGCTGGATTCCAGGTAAGGCAGAATATAAAATAGGGTAAAGTATGTTGAAATGGGGGCACCTTCTCATGACTTAGGATTCAGAACACAGAGAATTGTAAACTACCTTGTTCCATTTCTGTCAAGCCTCTTTGAAGTTTTGGAAGAGTGGCTCATAGTAATGAGGTAGAACTGTGAGACTTCCTTAGAAAAGTATTGAGAAGAGGTCCAAAGTCTCTGAGAATTGGCATGCTATAATTGTTTAATGATGTTAGAGCAGAGTACACAACAGTTGAATATGTGTTTTGGCAGATCTCAGCTAATATGCTCTTTACTAAAGCAATATGAATACATCAGTGAAGGGAACACATGCATTATTGAGAGGCTAGTAGGGGACTGCTATAAATCTGAGCTCCTGGTGTCAATGCAGATAATAGGAATTCCATATAACAGAAATCAGATGACAGCCAAGAAACTACAATAGAAAGGAGGATGGACAGAATGGCATTTGGGGAACCTTGACTGACAGAAGTGCATGGTTTTGATTAAGATTATAGTGACTATAAGCTTGGGATAGTTAAACAGCAACCATCCCAAGGCAAGGTTGCTTCTTGCCTTATATGACCAGAAAATATCACGAACAAGGAAAAGAGACTTAAACTCATTTGCTATATTGAGTAATTATAATTCTTTACCTAAGTTCCAGACTTGACCCAGTTCTCAAACTCAAAGTGTATTGAATGAAAGGGATACTGTTCCCTTTGGGAAAAGATCCTATTATCTCATAGCATGTCTTAGCAATTAACCCAGTCTTTCTGCAAAGGGACCTCTGTCCATTGATCAGAATAAGTTGACTTTGAGGAAGTAGCAGTACTCATTTTTTTGAGGATTGTTGGATACATGAGTTAGGCTGACATTGATTCATAGGATCCCCAAACATCATTGTGATCCCATACCTTGCTTTAGAATTAGGGCATATGGAGGCCCAGTAATAATGACGTCTTGGTTGCAAGCACATTTCACAAATGCCAAATAGGTTGATGGACCAAACCTCAGGCCATTTCCTTGAACTCTGAGTGCATAATAGGAATGGTTATACTTATCAGCCAGCACAACATTCATGTTGGTTCCATAAACTGTGGAGAGAGTTATCATGGTACAAAAATGAAAGTGGAAGCAACTAACGGTTCGAATACCCTGATTCTGACCAAGATTGTAAATCAAAAATTGAATTTCAGTTCAAAAGGATTTGGTATATAATTAGTGCTCTCTTTAAAACTCAAACAATACAAAGGTTGTGATACCTACCATATCTCCACTAAATTAGCAAGCCAAGCCCCTCTAAAAACAAATGTATGATAATAGATGTTGGCAGAATATCATAAAGGTAACCAAAGGGCTACTTGAGTTGCAGTTGCTGCGGTGGATATGGCATCTCTACTAAAATAGATCACTATACCCCCTAGAACTTAGAATGTGGCTATAGATCTGCTAAGATCATTTTTTCCCCAATCTCTATCAGAAAAAAAGGACTGAAAGCAGTTTGCTTTATCCCATGATAGACAGCTGCACACATTTATGATCTTACCCCAGGGCTAATTTAACTACCAGCTATGCCACAGTATAGACCAAAGAGATATTAATAGACAGGGCTTTTCCTAGACATGTTTCTTTGCTATACTGATGACACATGTTAATTAGACCTCATACCTGTTCTTGAGTTTTTTTCTCTAATTGAACCATATTACGACCCTCCTACTTCAAGCCTTTGTTGTAGATATTGCAGTGTTCTCTCAGAGGAGCCCTCTAACTCTGGTCTTTATCTTCTCCAGTATTTCTTAAAAATGTCCCCCTGGGGGATATTTGGCAATGTTTGGAGACATTTTTGGTTGTTACATTGGCAAGGTGTTACTAGAATTTAGTTGGTAGAGAACAGGGATACTGTTAAATATCCTATAATACAGCAAAAAATTTTCCATCCCAAAGTATCAGTAGTTCCAAGGCTGAGAAACAATGCCTGGCTCAAATCTACTCTTACTGTTGCAATCAAGTGTCAGGGACTGTGAAGAGTGTGAGATTTTACTCCTACTTGCAAACTTATAAGTTAGTTTGCCATGATTTTGGACATTAGCAGAAGACTCTAGAGTCAAGATAAAGGACTTTAATACATATGGTCCAGCAAGCAGCATCAGCATCAGCATATCTGCATCAATTCTGCTTGTTCCAAACCCACCCAGAGTGACAAAATGGGCCTGGGTGAATGCTACCCATGTGCAATGGGCTTGCCTCTCAGTTGAGGAACCCAGAGTTTTCGGAGCAACAGCACATGGTGCATCAGGAAGCAAACAAGCAAGCCCCTCTTGCCCACTATGGTGTGAGCACAGTAGTTAAACTGCAGTTGCCTTGACTTATGTATTTGCTTAGGTGACTAACTATAGAAATTGCTCAATATCTTCTGGAGATGAATCAGCCTTGCAATCAGATACACTTAGCAAGCACATGAAGGGATGCTCAGGGGCCCTGGCAAACCGCCTTTACTCCTGTACAATATAAAGTTCAATCTACTTTGTGCAGCAACACAAGCCGCTAATGACCTGCCTTCTAACTCAACCTCCACTTCTTAACTCAAACTTCAAACCTTGGTAATAATGACTTGCAGCTATATTGTTTTACCCACCTTATGCTTTTTTATTCCCCTTGTTGCTTATCCTTATTCAGATAAATTCAGAACTCAATTCAGGAATCCTCTTCTCCAGGAAGCTTTCCCTGAACTACTTTATTGGGTTAAATAGCTCTCTTTTGACTCTAAAGTACTCAGAATTTACCCATTGAAATCATTTATCATTGGATCTAAACTCTTGGTGGCAGGACCAGGTCATTCGTCTTCCCCTGTACTCCTAGCATTCAACACAGTATCTGCTGCATGGTGAACATGTAAATGTAGTTTCCCTTTATTTTTAAATTTGTTGTTATTGTTATTATTATTAGTAGTACATGCAACTGAATTCATAATATCCTCTTAACCGTACAGGAACTCATTCCCATTCAATTTGATCTGCTTTCTATACACTGTTTACCACTAGTGCACACATACACTATAGGATACATTTTAATAATATTTAGGTGGGACTCACATGGCCCTGAACCCTGAGCTATCTCCCTTCTGCCACCATATATTTGCAAGAGAGCTATGTAAATAATAAAGCAAGCACGTGCACACTTGTGGACACCAGCTGGGCCAAATTCTGACCTAGATTAGACCATGTGAATTGGTGCCTGGCCTTGTTTTCCAAGCTTATACCTGTTTCCTGGGGTATGGAGTGCCCATGGTGGATGCTCAGACACGATTGAGAGTTTCTAGGTCCCTGTTTTACTCCTGTTCTCTTCTTCTCACTGTTTCTGGCAGTTTCTCTCTTGTTACAGTAGAGATATGACAATTATATTAAATTTGTAGCTGCTATTACTAAAGAGTGATGGTGGAACAAATGATTGGAGAGTCATTTTATCAAGAACTTATTTTCTTCTTGCTTTCAAGTTTATGTGTTTATTGTCTACAATTCTTTAAAAATGGCAAAATGGCACATTAATTCACTCTCCTAACTGCCCCATTAATTCACAGTGCCATGCAAACATTGAGAAATTCTAAAATTGCTTTCAGTTTTTAAATCTGAGTTTGACTTAGCAAACATGAAGAATATAGAACCTGAGAAGCTCCTACTAGATTAATGTCTGTTCTGTGGATGTGTAGTAAATACAAATACATAAAAATGACCATAGAATTAATGCAAACTTGTATTCTTTCTTATTTTGGATGCTACATAACTCATATAATGAGAGTGTCACATTACTCTTTTCTCATAATTTTGCTTTATAAAAAGTTCTCCTGAACAAATATTGGTGAATAAAACCATGGGAGGTGGGTTTATGCACATTTTGATTCCACTAAGAAACAGCTTCAAACAGATGTGCACTGTGTACCTTTCAAATTTACATCCCCTCCCCACCATCGTGTCTTTCAACCAGTGAGGATAGCATTATTCAGGGAAATGTAAGTTGATATGCATTCCAGGTCCAGATTTTGTATCTGTTATAAACTGCACTATAGATCATGACTTTGAGGAATAGGACCTAGTTTTAAAAGAGAAAAAAAATTGTAACAAAAATATATGATGGTACATTTTTCTTTTTTTTTCTTTTATTATTATACTTTAAGTTTTAGGATACATGTGCACATTGTGCAGGTTAGTTACATATGTATACATGTGCCATGCTGGTGCGCTGAACCCACCAACTCGTCATCTAGCATTAGGTATATCTCCCAATGCTCTCCCTCCCCCCTCCCCCCACCCCACAACAGTCCCCAGAGTGTGATGTTCCCCTTCCTGTGTCCATGTGATCTCATTGTTCAATTCCCACCTATGAATGAGAATATGTGGTGTTTGGTTTTTTTGTTCTTGCGATAGTTTACTGAGAATGATGATTTCCAATTTCATCCATGTCCCTACAAAGGACGTGAACTCATCATTTTTTATGGCTTCATAGTATTCCATGGTGTATATGTGCCACATTTTCTTAATCCAGTCTATCATTGTTGGACATTTGGGTTGGTTCCAAGTCTTTGCTATTGTGAATAGTACCGCAATAAACATACGTGTGCATGTGTCTTTCTAGCAGAATGATTTATAGTCCTTTGGGTATATACCCAGTAATGGGATGGCTGGGTTAAATGGTATTTCTAGTTCTAGATCCCTGAGGAATCGCCACACTGACTTCCACAATGGTCGAACTAGTTTACAGTCCCACCAACAGTGTAAAAGTGTTCCTATTTCTCCACATCCTCTCCAGCACCTGTTGTTTCCTGACTTTTTAATGATTGCCATTCTATCTGGTGTGAGATGGTATCTCATTGTGGTTTTGATTTGCATTTCTCTGATGGCCAGTGATGGTGAGCATTTTTTCACGTGTTTTTTGGCTGCATAAATGTCTTCTTTTGAGAAGTGTCTGTTCATGTACTTTGCCCACTTTTTGATGGGGTTGTTTTTTTTTTCTTGTAAATTTGTTTGAGTTCATTGTAGATTCTGGATATTAGCCCTTTGTCAGATGAGTAGGTTGCAAAAATTTTCTCCCATTTTGTAGGTTGCCTGTTCACTCTGATGGTAGTTTCTTTTGCTGTACAGAAGCTCTTTAGTTTAATTAGATCCCATTTGTCAATTTTGTCTTTTGTTGCCATTGCTTTTGGTGTTTTAGACATGAAGTCCTTGCCCATGCCTAGGTCCTGAATGGTATTGCCTAGGTTTTCTTCTAGAGTTTTTATGGTTTTAGGTCTAACGTTTAAGTCTTTAATCCATCTTGAATTGATTTTTGTATAAGGTGTAAGGAAGGGATCCAGTTTCAGCTTTCTACATATGGCTAGCCAGTTTTCCCAGCACCATTTATTAAATAGGGAATCCTTTCCCCATTGCTTGTTTTTCTCAGGTTTGTCAAAGATCAGATAGTTGCAGATATGCGGCGTTATTTCTGAGGGCTCTGTTCTGTTCCATTGATCTATATCTCTGTTTTGGTACCAGTACCATGCTGTTTTGGTTACTGCAGCCTTGTAGTATAGTTTGAAGTCAGGTAGCATGATGACTCCAGCTTTGTTCTTTTGGCTTAGGATTGACTTGGCGACGCGGGCTCTTTTTTGGTTCCACATGAACTTTAAAGTAGTTTTTTCCAATTCTGTGAAGAAAGTCACTGGTAGCTTGATGGGGATGGCATTGAATCTGTAAATTACCTTGGGCAGTATGGCCATTTTCACGATATTGATTCTTCCTACCCATGAGCATGGAATGTTCTTCCATTTGTTTGTATCCTCTTTTATTTCCTTGAGCAGTGGTTTGTAGTTCTCCTTGAAGAGGTCCTTCACATCCCTTGTAAGTTGGATTCCTAAGTATTTTATTCTGTTTGAAGCAATTGTGAATGGGAGTTCACTCATGATTTGGCTCTCTGTTTGTTGTTGGTGTATAAGAATGCTTGTGATTTTTGTACATTGATTTTGTATCCTGAGACTTTGCTGAAGTTGCTTATCAGCTTAAGGAGATTTTGGGCTGAGTCAGTGGGGTTTTCTAGATATACAATCATGTCGTCTGCAAACAGGGACAATTTGACTTCCTCTTTTCCTAATTGAATACCCTTTATTTCCTTCTCCTGCCTAATTGCCCTGGCCAGAACTTCCAACACTATGTTGAATAGGAGTGGTGAGAGAGGGCATCCCTGTCTTGTGCCAGTTTTCAAAGGGAATGCTTCCAGTTTTTGCCCATTCAGTATGATATTAGCTGTGGGTTTGTCATAGATAGCTCTTATTATTTTGAGATACGTCCCATCAATACCTAATGTATTGAGAGTTTTTAGCATGAAGGGTTGTTGAATTTTGTCAAAGGCCTTTTCTGCATCTATTGAGATAATCATGTGGTTTTTGTCTTTGGCTGTGTTTATATGCTGGATTACATTTATTGATTTGCGTATATTGAACCAGCCTTGCATCCCAGGGATGAAGCCCACTTGATCATGGTGGATAAGCTTTTTGATGTGATGCTGGATTCGTTTTGCCAGTATTTTATTGAGTATTTTTGCATCAATGTTCATCAAGGATATTGGTCTAAAATTCTCTTTTTTGGTTGTGTCTCTGCCAGGCTTTGGTATCAGAATGATGCTGGCCTCATAAAATGAGTTAGGGAGGATTCCTTCTTTTTCTATTGATTGGAATAGTTTCAGAAGGAATGGTACCAGCTCCTGCTTGTACCTCTGGTAGAATTTGGCTGTGAATCCATCTCTTTTTGGTTGGTAAGCTATTGATTATTGCCACAATTTCAGATCCTGTTATTGGTCTATTCAGAGATTCAACTTCTTACTGGTTTAGTCTTGGGAGAGTGTCCAGGAATTTATCCATTTCTTCCAGATTTTCTAGTTTATTTGCGTAGAGGTGTTTGTAGTATTCTCTGATGGTAGTTTGTATTTCTGTGGGATCGGTGGTGATATCCCCTTTATCATTTTTTATTGCGTCTATTTGATTCTTGTCTCTTTTTTTCTTTATTAGTCTTGCTAGCGGTCTATCAATTTTGTTTATCCTTTCAATGAACCAGTTCCTGGATTCATCAATTTTTTGAAGGGTTTTTTTGTTTCTCTATTTCCTTCAGTTCTGCTCTGATTTTAGTTATTTCTTGCCTTCTGCTAGCTTTTGAATGTGTTTGCTCTTGCTTTTCTAGTTCTTTTAATTGTGATGTTAGGGTGTCAATTTTGGATCTTTCCTGCTTTCTCTTGTGGGCATTTAGTGCTATTAATTTCCCTCTACACACTGCTTTGAATGCATCCCAGAGATTCTGGTATGTTGTGTCTTTATTCTCGTTGGTTTCAAAGAACATATTTCTGCCTTCATTTTGTTATGTACCCAGTAGTCATTCAGGAGCAGGTTGTTCAGTTTCCATGTAGTTGAGCGGTTTTGAGTGAGATTCTTAATCCTGAGTTCTAGTTTGATTGCACTGTGGTCTGAGAGATAGTTTGTTATAGTTACTGTTCTTTTACATTTGCTGAGGAGAGCTTTACTTCCAAGTATGTGGTCAATTTTGGAATAGGTGTGGTGTGGTGCTGAAAAAAATGTATATTCTGTTGATTTGGGGTGGAGAGTTCTGTAGATGTCTATTAGGTCTGCTTTGTGCAGAGCTGTGTTCAATTCCTGGGTATCCTTGTTGACTTTCTGTCTGGTTGATCTGTCTAATGTTGACAGTGGGGTGTTAAAGTCTCCCATTATTAATGTGTGGGAATCTAAGTCCCTTTGTAGGTCACTCAGGACTTGCTTTATGAATCTGTGTGCTCCTGTATTGGGTGCATATATATTTAGGATAGTTAGTTCTTCTTGTTGAATTGATCCTTTTACCATTATGTAATGGCCTTCTTTGTCTCTTTTGATCTTTGTTGGTTTAAAGTCTGTTTTATCAGAGACTAGGATTGCAACCCCTGCCTTTTTTTGTTTTCCATTTGCTTGGTAGATCTTCCTCCATCCCTTTATTTTGAGCCTATATGTGTCTCAGCACGTGAGATGGGTTTCCTGAATACAGCACACTGATGGGTCTTGACTGTTTATCCAATTTGCCAGTCTGTGTCTTTTAATTGGAGCATTTAGTCCATTTACATTTAAAGTTAATATGGTTATGTGTGAATTTGATCCTGTCATTATGATGTTAGCTGGTTATTTTGCTCGTTAGTTGATGCAGTTTATTCCTAGTCTTGATGGTCTTTACATTTTGGCATGATTTTGCAGCGGCTGGTATTGGTTGTTCCTTTCCACGTTTAGCGCTTCCTTCAGGAGCTCTTTTAGGGCAGGCCTGGTGGTGACAAAATCTCTCAGCATTTGCTTGTCTGTAAAGTATTTTATTTCTCCTTCACTTATGAAGCTTAGTTTGGCTGTATATGAAATTGCGGGTTGAAAATTCTTTTCTTTAAGAATGTTGAATATTGGCCCCCACTCTCTTCTCCCTTGTAGACTTTCTGCCAGGAGATCTGCTGTTAGTCTGTTGGGCTTCCCTTTGAGCGTAACCCGATCTTTCTCTCTGGCTGTCCTTAACATTTTTTCCTTCATTTCAACTTTGTTGAATCTGACAATTATGTGTCTTGGAGTTGCTCTTCTCGAGGAGTATCTTTGTGGCGTTCTCTGTGTTTCCTGAATCTGAATGTTGGCCTGCCTGCTAGATTGGGGAAGTTCTCCTGGATAATATCCTGCAGAGTGTTTTCCAACTTGGTTCCATTCTCCCCGTCACTTTCAGGTACACCAATCAGACGTAGATTTGGTCCTTTCACGTAGTCCCATATTTCTTGGAGGCTTTGCTCATTTCTTTTTATTCTTTTTTCTCTAAACTTCCCTTCTCACTTCATTTCATTCATTTCATCTTCCATCACTGATACCCTTTCTTCCAGTTGATCGCATCGGCTCCTGAGGCTTCTGCATTCTTCACGTAGTTCTCAAGCCTTGGTTTTCAGCTCCATCACCTCCTTTAAGCACTTCTCTGTATTGGTATAACTAGAATTAGTTATACATTCTTCTAAATTTTTTTCAAAGTTTTCAACTTCTTTGCCTTTGGTTTGAATGTCCTCCCGTAGCTCGGAGTAATTTGATCGTCTGAAGCCTTCTTCTCTCAGCTTGTCAAAGTCATTCTCCGTCCAGCTTTGTTCCGTTGCTGGTGAGGAACTGCGTTCCTTTGGAGGAGGAGAGGTGCTCTGCTTTTTAGAGTATCCCGTTGTTCTGCTCTGTTGTTTCCCCGTCTTTGTGGTTTTATCTACTTTTGGTCTTTGATGATGGTGATGTACAGATGGGTTTTTGGTGTGGATGTGCTTTCTGTTTTAGTTTTCCTTCTAACAGACAGGACCCTCAGCTGCAGATCTGTTGGAGTACCCGGCTGTGTGAGGTGTCAGTCTGCCCCTGTTGGGGGGTGCCTCCCAGTTAGGCTGCTCAGGCATCAGGGGTCAGGGACCCACTTGAGTAGGCAGTCTGCTCGTTCTGAGATCTCCACCTGCATGCTGGGAGAACCACTGCTCTCTTCAAAGGTGTCAGACAGGGACATTTAAGTCTGCAGAGGTTACTGCTGTCTTTTTGTTTGTCTGTGCCCTGCCCCCAGAGGTGGAGCCTACAGAGGCAGGCAGGCCTCCTTGAGCTGTGGTGGGCTCCCCCCAGTTTGAGCTTCCAGGCTGCTTTGTTTACCTAAGCAAGCCTGGGCAATGGTGGGCGCCCCTCCCCCAGCCTCGCTGCAGCCTTGCAGTTTGATCTCAGACTGCTGTGCTAGCAATCAGTGAGCCTCCGTGGGCGTAGGACCCTCCGAGCCAGGTGCGGAACACAATCTCCTGGTGCGCCGTTTTTTAAGCCCGTCGGAAAAGCGCAGTATTCGGGTGGGAGTGACCCGATCTTCCAGGTGCCATCTGTCACCCCTTTCTTTGACTAGGAAAGGGAACTCCCTGACCCCCCGCACTTCCTGAGTGAGGCAATGCCTCGCCCTGCTTCGGCTCGTGCATGGTGCGCGCACCCACTGACCTGCGCCCACTGTCTGGCACTCCCTAATGAGATGAACCCGGTACCTCAGATGGAAATGCGGAAATCACCCCTCTTCTGCGTGGCTCACGCTGGGAGCTGTAGACCAGGGCTGTTCCTATTCGGCCATCTTGGCTCCTCCCTCCGATTGTATATTTTTATTTTCAAGTTAAATGTTTCTGGAAACTTGGATCCAATATTTGCACACTCTTGGTCTAAAGCTGAGTGGAGATAACACTTCTGTACTCTTGGAAATAGTCAAACTAAACCCTCTACTTAATTCTCATCATCATCAGCTATTCATACAATTACTCTCCTACACTACGTCCTTGTCAACACTCATTAAGACAATGGCAGAAACAGTACACCTATTTAAGCATCTCTGAGGCATTTTCTCAACTTATGTAAGTCCAACAAATTCTATACCCATAGAATCTACTACTTGTCATGTTCTGGTTATCATACTTAATTCCTGTGAGGTCGTGAATAGTATCTCCTTTTTACAAATAAGAAAGTAGATTAAAAGGCTTAAGGCTATGTCCAAAGTAATGCAACTGTTATGTAGCAAGCTCAAATCAGTTCAATTGAGTTACTTTTTTTTTTGGAAAATTTTTTTCTGTGGTAAAATATAAATAACTTAAAAATTATTATTTTAACTTTTTTTAGAGACAATTTCTTGCTGTGTTTCCCAGGTGAGAGTGCAGTAGCTATTCACAAGTGCAATCATAGCACACTGCAGCCTCAAACTCTTGATCTCAAGCAATTCTCCCACCTCAGCCTTCCTAGTCGCTAAAACTACAGGCACTCATCACTGTGCCCAACTTATTTAACCATTTTTAAATGGACAGTCTGTGACATTGAGTACATTCACATCATTCTGCAATATCAACACCATCTATCTCTAGAAGCTTTTCATCTTTTCAGGCTGAAACTCTTTCACTGAGCTCTTAGAAAGAGCCATTGAGGCCATTCACTGTTCCCTTTTAACCATTTTTGCTAATAATTAAAAATGGGTCTCATGACTGCTCAAGAAAGACATTTATTCTCTCTTCTCCTTATCTGACTAAACCCCATGTATTCTTTAACATCCAGTTCAGATGCCACATCTAAGAAAAGTTATTTTACCCACTTTCCAAACTGAGGCTTCCTCAGGCTAGGCTGTACACCTCTTTTTTGTTAGTTTCATCCCTCCTTCCAATTTTTCACCATCATTTTATGTAGTATTCCAATGATCTCTGTGTCTTTGTCTTCCATCAGCCATCACCTTGCCTTTTTTATCTTACTTATTCATTAATTCATTCTTGATACTACAATGTTGAGTCAAAATGGACATTGTCTCTTATGGAGCTTCATTTGCCTGGAATTAATTCAGAGTAATCATTATTACACGAATACTGGTTAGCTCTTAATTTGTAAGATCCTCTGTAAGAGCCTAGACTGTCAAGTTTGGAAAATAGATAATAATCCCAGAAATTACATAAATAGCTATGAATTTTATACTGGGATACTTGTCTGACTAGCCAGATTATTATATGGTTTCTCCTACTTGAAGATAAGTCTGAGAAGATGTGTTTTTAACATAACATATCTTGGAGTTAAAGACAACCAAGGGAAAAGAGATTGGAATGGGTGCTGGGACAACCAAACTATAGTGTCTACCATAATTTCCTAAGGAATATTTACTCTTTTTCCAATTCTTTGTCCTCTTAATTTTTCTTACCTAACTATACCTCTCAAAACAATGCCAAATCTTAGAAAATTAATCTTTATAAGTTGGTTCTTCAAAAGGAAAAACAAGATTGGTAGACTGCTAGTTAGATCCACAAAGAAAAAAAATGAGACAAGATCCAAATAAGCACAATCAG
Source organism: Homo sapiens (assembly GCF_000001405.40). Lineage (NCBI taxonomy): Eukaryota > Metazoa > Chordata > Mammalia > Primates > Hominidae > Homo > Homo sapiens. The sequence continues at coordinate 97,774,350 of NC_000005.10, forward strand.
AAATGGTAAAGGTGACATTACAACTGATCCCACAGAAACACAAAAGAATGCTTCTGTGCACACAACTATAAAATCTGTAGGAAATGGGTAAATTCTTGGAAAATACGGTCTCCCAAGATTGAACCAGTAAGAAATTGAAATCCTGAACAGACCAGTATTGAGCTCTGAAATTGAATCAGTAATAAAAATCCTAGCCCCAGACCAGATGAATTCACAGCTGAATTCCACCAGACATGGAAAGAAGAGCTGATATCAATTCTACTAAATTTATTACAAAAAAATAGAGTAGAAGGAACTGCTCCTTAACTGATTCTATGAAGCCAACATCACCCTAATACCAAAATCTGGCAAAGACATAATGAAAAAAATTAAGGTCAATATCCCTGATGAACACAGACACAAAAATTCTCAACAAAATACTAGCAAGCCTAATCCAACAACACATTAAAAAGGTAATTCACCATGATCAGGTAGGCTTAATTCCTGGGATGCAAGGTTAATTCAACATACACAAATCAATAAATGTAATTCACCTCATAAATATAATTGAAAACAAAAACCATATGGTCATCTCAGTAGATTCAGGAAAAGCTTTCAATAAAATCCAACATCCCTTCATAATAAAAACCCTCAAGAAGCTAGGTATTGAAGGAACATACCTCAAAGTATTATAATAAGAGCCATCTATGAAAACCCCATGGCCCACAGCCAACAACATACTTAATTGGCAAAAACCATAAGCATTCCCCCTGAGAATGAGAACAAGACAAAGGTGTAGTACTCCTACTCAACATAGTACCAGATGTCCTATCCAGAGCAATCAGTCAAGAGAAAGAAATAAAAGGCATTTGAACAGGAAAAGAAGTCAAACCTCTTCACTGATGAAATGATTCTATATTTAGATACCCCTACAGAGTCTGCCAAAAGGAACCTAGAATAAACTTCAGTAAAGTTCAGGACACAAAATCAATGTACAAAAATCAGTAGCATTTCTATTCACCAATAATGTTCAAGTTGAGAGTCAAATAAAGAACACAATCTTGTTTATAATAGTCATACCAAAAAATAATGCCAATAAATACCTCTAATCAAGGAGATGAAAGATCTTTAAAATGCGAACCACAGAACACTGCTGAAAGAATTCATACATGACAAAAACAAATGGAAAAAACATTTCATGCTCATGAGTTAGAAGAATCAATATTGTTAAAATGTCCATACTGCCCAAAGCCATTTACAGATCCAATCCTATTCCTATCAAGCTACCAACATCATTTTTCACAGAAATGAAAAAAAAACCATTCTAAATTTTTTATGCAACAAAAAGAGAGCTAGAATAGCCAAAGCAATCCTAAGCAAAAGTAACAGACTAGAGGTACCACATTACCTGACTTCAAACTATACTACAAGGTTAGAGTAACTGAAGCAGCATGGCACTTATACACAAATAGACACAAACACCAATGGAACAGAATAGCAAACTCAGAAATAAAGCCATATGACTACAACCATTTGGTTTTCAATGAAGTCAACAAAAGTAAGCAATGGGAAAAGAACTCCATATTCAATAAATGGTGTTGGCATAGCTGAATAGCCATATGCAGAACAATGAAACTGGACTCTTATCTTTCACCACATAAAAAAATTAACTCAAGATGGATTACATATTTAAATGTAAGACCTTAAACTATAAGAATCCTAGAAGAAAGCCTAGGAGACACCATTCTGAACATGGGCCTTGGGAATAAATTTATGACAAATTATCAAAAGCAATTGCAACAAAAACAAAAATTGACAAGTAGAGCCTAAAAGAGCTACTGCACAGCAAAAGAAACTATCACCAGAGTAAATCGATAGCCTACAAAATGAGAGAAAATAATTGCAAAATATGTGTCTGGCAAAGGTCTAATATACAGAACCTCTAAGGTACTTAAACAATTGAACAGGCAGAATACAACTCCATTAAAAAATGGGCAAAAATTTTGTCCCATTCTGTAGGTTGTCTGTTCACTCTGATGATAGTTTCTTTTGCTGTGCAGAAGCTCTTTAGTTTAATTAGATTCCCCTATTTGTCAATTTTTGGTTCTGTTGCAGTTACTTTTGGTGATTTTGTCATAAAATCTTTGCCCATGCCTATGTCCTGAATGGTATTGCCTAGATTTTCTTCTAAGGTTTTTATAGTTTTGGTTTTACATTAAGTCTTTAATTCATCTTGAGTTAATTTTTGTATAAGATATAAGAAAGGTTCCAGTTTCAATTTTGTGCATATGGCTAACCAGTCCTCCCAGCACCATTTATGAAATAGAGAATCCTTTCCCCATTGCTTGTTTTTGTCAGGTTTGTTGAAGATCAGATGGTTGTAGATGTGCAGTTTTATTTATGAGTTCTCTATTCTATTCCATTGGTCTATGTGCCTGTTTTTGTACCAGTACCATGCTGTTTTGGTTATTGAAGTCTTGTAGTATTGTTTGAAGTCAGGTAGTGTGATGCCACCAGCTTTGTTCTTTTTGCTTAGGATAGCCTTGTCTATACAAGCTCTTTTTTGGTTCCATATTAATTTTAAAATAGTTTTTTTCTAATTCTGAAGAATGCCAATGGTAGTTTAATAGAAATAACATTGAATCTGTCAATTGCTTTGGGCATTATTGCTATTTTCATGATATTGATTCTTCCTGTCCATGAGCATGGAATGTTTTTCCATCTGTTTGTGTCCTCTCTGATTTCCTTGAGCAGTGGTTTGTAGTTCTCCTTGAAGAGGTCCTTCACTTCCCTTGTTAGCTGTATTCCTAGGTATTTTATTTTCTTTGTGGAAATTATGAATGGAAGTTCATTCATGATTTGGCTGTTTGCCTTTCTGTTGTTGGTGTATAGGAATGCTTGTGATTTCTGCACATTGATTTTTTATACTGACATTTGCTGAAGTTGCATATCAGCTTAAGAAGCTTTTGGGCTGAGGCAGTGGGGTTTTCTAGATATACGATTATGTCGTCTGCAAACAAAGACAATTTAACTTTCTTTTTTCTTATTTGAATACGTTTATTTCTGTCTCTTGCCTGATTGTCCTGGCCAGAACTTCCAATACTATGTTGAATAAGAGTAGTGAGAGAAGACCCACAGAATGGGAGAAAATTTTTGCAATCTATCCATCTGACAAAGGTCTAATATCCAGAATCTGCAAGGAACTTAAGTAAATTTACAAGAAAAAAAAACAACCCCATTAAAAATTGGGGAAAGAACATGAACAGACGCTTTGCAAGAGGACATACATGTGGCCAACAAGCATATGAAAAAAAACTCAACATCACTGATTATTAGAGAAATGCATATAAAAATCACAGTGAAGTGCCATCTCATGTGAGTCAGAATGGCAATTATTAAAAAGTCAAGAAACAACAGATGCTGGTGAGGTTGCTGAGCAATAGGGATGCTTTTACACTGTTGATGGGAATGTAACTTAGTTCAACCATTGTGGAAGACAGTGTGGAGATTCCACAAAGATTTAGCACCAGAAATACCATTTGACCCAGCAATCCCATTACTGGATAAATACCCAAAGGAATATAAATCTTTCTATTATAAAGATACATGCATGTGTGTAATAATTGCACCACTATTCACAATAGCAAAGACATGAAATCAACCCAAATACCCATCAATAATAGACTGGATAAAGAAAATGTGGTACATATACACCATGGAATACTATGCAGCCATAAAAAGAAATGAGTTCCTGACCTTTGCAGGGAGATGGATGAAGCTGGAAGCCATTATTCTCGGTAAACTAAGGCAGGAACAGAAAACGAAACACCACATGTTCTCACTTATAAATGGGAGGTGAACAATGAGAACGCATGTACACAAGGTGGGAACAACACACACTGGGGCCTGTCGGGGGAGGGTGGGGCAGGGTAGAGCATGAGGAAAAATACCTAATGCATGCCAGGCTTAATACCTAGGAGATGGGTTGATAGGTGCAGCAGACCACCATTACTCATTTACCTATGTAACAGACCTGCACATTCTGCATATGTACCTTGGAACTTAAAGTAAAATTAAATTAAATTTAAAAAAATAAAGAATGAGCAACGGAAATGAAGACACTTCTCAAAAGAAGACATGCAAGTGGGCAAGAAACATGAAAAAAAGCTCATTACTAATCATTAGAGAAATGAAAATCAAAACCACAATGAGATACCACCTCATACCAGTCATAATGGCTATTACTAAAATGTCAAAAACCAACAGATGCTGGCAAGGCTGTGGAGAAAAGGAAATGCTTACACACTGTTAGTGGGAATGTAAATTAGTTCAGCCACTGGGAAAAGCAATTTGGAGATTTCTCAAGGAACTTAAAAAAGAACTGCCATTTGACCAGGAATCCGATTACCGGGTGTATATCCAAAAGAAAATAAACAACTCTACCAAAAAGACACATACACTTGCAAGTTCATTGCAGCACTATTCACAAGAGTAAAGCTATGGAATCAATATAGGTGCCCATCAACAGTGGATTGGATAAAGAAAATGTGGTGTATACACCATGGGATACTACACGGCTTTATTGTGCCCTTTGCAGCAACATGGATGTAGCTAGAGGCCATTATCCTAAGTGATCTAATGCAGAAACAGAGAAACAAATATTGCATCTTCTCACTTATACGTGGGAGCTAAACAATGGGTACTCCTGATCATAAAAATGGCAACGATAGACAGTAAGAACTACTAGAGGGGGAATGGCAGGAGGGAAACAAAGGTTGAAATTCTGACTTTTGGGTACTATACTCAGCACCTAGGTGATGGCATTAATCATACCCCTAAACCTCAGCATCACACAGTATACCCAGGTAACAAACCTGCACACTTGCCCTCTGAATCTGAAATAAAAGTTGAAATTATTTTAAAAAATGAGCAAAATTAATCTTTTAAACATCACTTTTTCCACTGACCATAGTAAAAAATAGTGCTTCTTAACCTGATATTCAAGAATCTTTACAGCTTGGTCACAAGCTACTTATTCAATTTTAACTCCAAATATTCTTGTATACAAATTATCTACTCCAAATAATATAGGCATGCTACTGTCTCATGTCCTGTGTTTTCCTAATTTTATTCTGTTTTACATGATCTTAACCATATGTAGAATCTCTTTTTGCAGATTTATCTCATACACAAGTTCTATTTTAAATTCTGTCACTCACTCACTTCCTATTCCAGTAGTAATTATTCCTTCTTTTAAACTTCTGTGTGTATTTACTGACTTGCCTTGTGTTTATGCCTTGGTTTTATTAATTACGTTATGTGCCTACATGTAAGTACCCCAACTACACTACAGTTCTGGAAGGACACAATCTAGGTCTTTGCCTTTTCTTGTATTTTATATGCATTTATGTTATGATGCACAGCAGAAGCAAAATATCCATTTGTGGGTTGATAGACTATGTTGAAGTAATTTCAGATGGGAAAAATCTTTCCAGTAGTGCATCAGAGTTTCACAATTTCTAATGTCAAGAAATTACTCTTCAGGTTTGAACAATTTTCTCTTCATGGATTCCCCAAATCGAGATAAACAGCTCCAGTCCACCAGATTATATTAATATTAATATTAATATTAATTTACATCTATGAATGTTTACATTTTCAAGATCTGATTGATTGCATATGAGATCAGCATTTTCTATTTTGAATTTTCTCCCTTATATAGCTTTATTTCCTTAATCATTTGCACATTTGATAGCAAAATTGACTTTTATTACATACAAAATCTTCACAAAACAAAATTTACCCCATGACCTCTTCTTATTGTGATTTAATGGCTTGTATTGCATGAACTGATGTAATTATGTTGGTAAATAACAGAGAAAAATGAATTGTCTGATATCATCATATATACAGTGACCTGGGAGCTGAGAATACATTTTCTAACTTATTTGTATTTTGGGGGATACCACCCAAAGACTCTATTATGATGAATTGAATAACATTGCAATGAAAATGTTTATAGTCTTTTAGAATAACAAGAAAATTTACCGTTAGGTATTTTCAGACTACACAAATTTAATTAGGATGTCTAAGAGCAAGCAGATGATAAAAGGAGCTCCTTACTCATTCATTATCTATTTGCTAGGTTCATTTCAAATACAGCAACTAGTCTCTGGATCGATTACAGGTGTCTGAAAATAAATAAAAAGAGACTATTTCTCTAATATTTATATGTGATGAATTACATCATGAATTAGCACAGTGGGAGTGGTATTAAACAGATATCTAATTTATAAAAGGAGTTATCTTGAAATAATAATTTTCTGAAATAATTTGCTTAACAGTGATATGTTATTACACTCTACTCAACAAACAAAACATAGTCAGCCATATCAAAAAGGTAGCATTTCAATTGAAATATCTGTAATCAATTTAATTCAAATAAAATATTTTTGTTTGCTTTTAATATTTGTTTAGGATTGGCTATGAGTTTGTTTCATTGACATACCAGTTTTTGTTGCTTACATAAATGTTGCAGAATACAGTAGAAAGTTTATACGCTTCAGAATAAGATAACTGGGTTTGAGTTTTGTATCTATTAATTATTAGTTTAGGCTAATTACTTAATCTTGCTAAATTTTGGTTTACTCACTTTTAAGCACAGCTTGGCTATGAACATTAAAAGCAAAAATTCCTACTTATAAATAGAATAGGGCATGTAATAATTGATACTAATAAATGTTAGAATCCTTTTCCCCTAGTAACACACATTTCCAATGTGTTAAGTATTCTAATTGTCACTTCAGTGACCTATATGGCCCAGTTTTAACTTCATGTCACAATTTTTTTAAAACACAGTTTAAAAGTACTTTAAAAAGATAATTAGAATGTAACACCAATTTAACTTGTATCTCTCAAATTACTTTACATTCTAATCAAATATATGACTTACAAACATTCACCCCCATCCTCCTTTTACCCTCTCCTAATTTACTCACAGCCTGCAGGTTCTGAGATGCCTCTTATTTTCTAAATCTTACCCTATCTCTCCAACAAAATTGCCTGAATTTCAACTTATGAAGTTTCTCATGTCTTGATTTTACTCCTAATTTCTCTGTACTCATTATTTAGTCTTGTTTCTGTCCACTCACTCATCCTTTAAAGTTCCTACATAAAAATTGTAAGAATGAGTTGATAAAAGTACAGTTTTTCTCAAGAGATGGAGGGGCATGAAAGAAGAAAAGAACAAAGATAGAAACAGAACATTCCCTCTTTAATACACCTTTTTTTTCAGCCTTCATCACAAGTGAATGAACCATGAACCACAACTTTTAGAATCATTTTAGAAAACAAAGTTTGATCTTAGTAATCAACTTCTGTCTTGAACCTCAAAATGGATTTTCCTTATGATTTTTAGATTAGAATTCAAAGCTACTTATAAAAGCTTTTTCTTAGAAAACAATTAAGATTTTTATCTTTTATTTAGGAATTGTGTTAGTTCATTTTTACGCTGCTAATAAAGACATACCTGAGACTGGGCAATTACAAAACAAAAAAGGTTTATTGAACTTACAATTCCACGTGCCTGGGGAGGCCTCACAATCATGGTGGAAGGTGAAAGGCATGTTTCACATGGCAGCAGACAAGAGAAGAGAGCTTGTGCAGGGAAACTCCCATTTGTGAAACCATCAAATCTCATGAAACTCCTTCACTATCACAAGAATGGTGCAGGAAAAACCCACCCCCCATAATTCAATCACCTCCCACCAGGTTCCTCCCATGACACATGAGAATTGTGGAAATTACAATTTAAGATGAGATTTGGGTGGCAACACAGCCAAATCATATAATTCTGCCCCGGCCCCTCCCAAATCTCATGTCCTCACATTTCAAAACCAATCATGTCTTCCCAACAGTCCCCCAAAGTCTTAACTCATTTCAGCAATAACTTAAAAGTCCGCAGTCCAAAGCCTTATCTGAAACAAGGCAAGTCCCTTTTGCCTATGAGCCTGCAAAATTAAAAGCAAGTTAGTTACTTCCTAGATACAATGGGGGTACAGGCATTGGGTAAATACAGCCATTCCAAATAGGAGAAATTGGCCAAAACAAAGGGGCTATAGACCCCATGCAAGTCAAAAATCCCACAGGGCAGTCAAATCTTAAAGCTCCAAAATGGTCTCATTTGACTCCATGTTTCACATGCCGGTCATGCTGATGCAAGAAGTGGGTTCCCATTGTCTTGGGCAGCTCTTCTCCTGTGACTTTGCCTGGTACAGCCTCCCTCCCAGCTGCTTTCATGGGCTGGCATTGAGTGTCTGTGGCTTTTCTAGGTGCACAGTGCAAGCTGTCAGTGGATCTACTATTCTAGGGTCTGGAAGATGGTGACCCTCTTCTCACAGCTCCACTAGGCACTGTCCCAGCAGGGACCCTGATGGGGTCTCCAACCCCACATTTTCCTTCTGCACTTCCTTTGGCAGAGGTTCTCCATGAGAGGCCTGCCCCTGCAGTGAATTTATGCCTGGACATTCAGGCATTTCCATACATCCTCTGAAATCTAGGTGGAGGTTCCCAAACCCCAATTATTGACTTGTGTGCACCTGCAGGCCCAACACCACTTGGAGGCTACCAAGGCTTGGGGCTTGCAGCCTATGAAACCATGGCCTGAGCTCTACATTGGCCCCTTTCAGCCATGGCTGGAGCAGCTGGCACAGAGGGCACCAAGTCCCCAGGGTGCACACAGCACAGGGACCCTGAGCCTAGCCCAGAAAAACACTTTTTCCTCCTAGGCCTTGGGGCCTGTGATAGGAGGGGCTGCCATAAAAACCTCTGACATGCCCTGGAGACATTTTTCTCATTGTTTTGGGAATTAACACTCAGCTCCTCATTACTTTCTGCCGTTGGTTTGAATTTCTCCTCAGAAAATGGGATTTTTTTTTTTTCTATCACGTTGTCAGCATGCAAATTTTCTGAACTTTTATGCCCTGTTTCCCTTATAAAATGGAATGCCTTTAACAGCACCCAAGTCACATCTTGAATGCTTTGCTGCTTAGAAATATCTTCCACCAGGTACCCTAAATCATCTGTCTCAATTTCACAGATCTCCAGGGCAGAGGCAAAATGCCACCAGTCTCTTTGCTAAAACATAACAAGAGTCACCTTTGCTCCAGTTCCCAACAAGTTCCTCATTTCCATCTGAGAACACCTCAGCCTGGACCTTATTGTTCATATCACTATCAGCATTTTTGTCAAAGACATTCAACAAGTCTCTAGAGAGTTTCAAACGTTCGTACATTTTCCTGTCTTCTTCTGAGCCCTCCAAACTGTTCCAACTGCTGCCTGTTACCCAGTTCCAAAGTCACTTCCACATTTTTGGGTATCTTTTCAGCAATGCCCCACTCTACTAGTACCAATTTACTGTATTAGTCCATTTTCACACTGCTGATAAAGACATACCCAAGATGAGGCAATTTACAAAAGAAAAGTTTATTGGACTTATAGTTCCATGTGGCTGTGGAGGTCTCACAATCATGGCAGAAGGTGAAAGGTATGTCTGACATGGCAGCAGATAAGAGAAGAGAGCTTGTGCAGGGAAACTCCTGTTTCTAAAACCATCAGATCTCATGAGACTAATTCACTATTACAAGAAGAGCACAGGAAAGACACCCTCATAATTCAATCACCTCTCACCAGGTTCTTCCCATGACACATGTAAATTGTGGGAGTTAAAATTCAACATAAGATTTGGGTGGGGACACAGCCAAATCATATCAGGAATCAAGAATATTCTACACACATTTAATTATTTCTGTTAATCCTAACATTGTTATTCAAAGGTACATGAATTTATTGTATTTATAAAAATTATAGAAAATTCTTGTGCAGAAAAATGTCCTGCATCAGATATTTTTCTGACACATTGAATCAACATTTAACAGTTAATAATCAATTACCTAACACCAGATATGTGTTAGGTACTTGTCAGTTCTTGGAGATACAAAGTGGAACAAGATAGAAGCCCTATCCTTAAGGCAAGTGATAGTGAAATCCATGTTGTGTTAGACACTAGATAAGATGATGCACTTTATGAGAAATTATAATTTCCAAATGACACATGAAGATACACATTGCTTGTAACACATCCAATGATGCTGACTTATGTTACATTCTAGTAGTAAAGAGTGCTTCTTAAGGGAAATGAAGAAAATTAGAAGAAAAGAAATGTTCCCCTTTACCCCTTCCAAAAAGTTAAATGCATGTTGTTGTATCTTTATAGATAGTTAGGATATTTGGAAAGGATGTGATTGTCAGGGAGGAGCTGAATAACTGAGAAAAGTGTTCCAGAAGGTAAGTATAGTCTAAACTGGGTTCCTGGGAGAAAACAAAACAAATAAAAATGTTTAATTGTTTTTATTTATTTGTATTTGTTTTCATCTCCTCAAGCATTTATCTTTTGAGTTACAAACAATTCGATTCCACCCTTTAAGATATTTAAAAATGCACAATTAAGTTATTTTATTGACAGTGGTCACCCTATTGTGCTATCAAATAGTAGGCCTCACTTATTCTAACTATTTTTTGGTACCCATTATCTATCCCCTTCTCCACTCCACAACCCCCATTACCTTTCCCAGCCTCTGGTAACCATCCTTCTACTCTCTATGTTCATGAATTTTGATTTTTCGATCCTAAACATTTTGATTTTTAGATCCTACAATTAAGTAAGAACATGTAATGTTTGTCTTTCTCTGCCTGACACATTTCACATAATATAATGATCTCCAGTTCCATCCATGTTGTTGCAAATGACTGAATCTCGTTCTTTTTATGGCTGAATAGTACTCCATTGTGTACAGGTACCACTTGTTTTTTTATCCCTTCATCTGTTAATGGTCACTTAGGTTGCTTCCAAATCTTAGCTATTGTAAACAGTGCTGCAACAAACATAGGAATGCAGATATTTCTTCCATATGGTGATTTTCTTCCCTTTGGGTATATACCCAGCAGTGGGATTGCTGAATTGTATGATAGCTCTATTTTTAGTTTTTTTGAAAAACCTCCAAAAATTATGTAGTTTTTTGATTTGTCTAAGTGTTTAATGTCCACAAAAGTTTCTAAGATGGGAATGCTCTTGTGAAATATTTAATGATGAATGAAACCTGGAAGTCACTCAATAATTATTTGCTGAACAAAATATGCCATTCTTGATTTTTAAGAACAAATAAATACTTGGCTGGGTGCAGTGCCTCATGCCTGTAATCCTAGCATTTTGGGAGGCGACGGCAGGTAGATCACTTGAAATCGGGAGTTTGAGACAATCCTGGGCAATACAGGGAGACGTTATCGCTATAAAAAACAACAACAAAAAAAGCATAACTTAATAGGAACTCACATTTATTGAGCACATTCTGTGTGCCAAGCACTACTAAGTACTTTATGTTGATTAAAAAAATCCTTGCATTATTCTATAAAAGTAAGCACTTATTATAGATGAAGAAAAGCATTTAGAAAAGCTAAATAAGTTCGCCATAAAATTCTACAGCTATTAAATGACAGACCTATAATTTGAAAAGAGCAGTCTCATTTCATATTCCTCTCTTAACTACCGTATTACATCCCTGTATTGTTGGCAGGTTCCTTGGATATGAAAGTCTTCTATGTGTTTGCTATCTACTTTTGGTATTGATACTAATATAGAGCAATTTGAGAAGACTTGTAGAAACTGATTTAATCATTGCATCAGTTATATGGAAGTTTTCTTATAATGATTTATGCCAAACATTGCCAAACATTTATGCCAAACATTCATTACATGGGATAAAGATCTACTTAGTGAATTTGCATTTTGTCTCAATCAAAAATCATAAACCTAGGACTCCATGCCTGTCACACTTCTGCAATAAGACAAAGTCTCAATGAAAATATGTTTGCTTGCTTGGGTTGTTTAAATCATTTGTCATCAACTATTTTCTAGTAACTTATTGAATAAATTCTACTCAGTATGATGTCCATTATATTGACCCTAATTTTTAGAGTATATTTGCTTTGTTTTAGGGAGTAAAAATTCCACAGCAAAAAGACCATCCATTATCTGATTTCCTAGGCGAGGGGAAAAAATTATCTACCTGTCATCTATCTGCCTATCTATCTATTATCTATCTATCTATCTATCTATCTATCTATCTATCTATCTATCACCTATCTACCCACCTACTTATCAGGTAATACATGGCAAGAAGGAAACAAGCTGAGTGATACAAGGTGAATGAGAGAGCAGTTTCTGATAGGTGGATTATGAAAATCCTCTCAGTTGAGATGACATTTGAGCACATACTTGAAATAGGTGAGGAAGAGTTAGCTATAAAGATATCTGAGAAAAGGCTTTGCATTGAGGGGATTTGAGGGCAACTCTGTGGTAGATATGAGGATGCTAAGAGGGATAAAGGAGGAGGAAGCAAGGGGGTGTAAGGAGTCTAGGAGACAAATTATAACTATTGCAAGTTTGCATGCATGTGTACACACACAGACACACCCCAGCCATTTTCATGCGCCTGTAGAATATTTGTTTAATGCAGTTTCTACAAATGCAGTAAAATAATTGTTCCATAGTGTGACTTTATTACTCCATCTTTACTAGAAATTGATTGGTCCCCTCACTTTTGAAAACTGATGATATGGTTAGGCTTTGTGTCCCTACCCAAATCTCACCTTGAATTGTAATCCCCATAATCCCCTCGTGTGAAGGGAGAGACCAGGTGGAGGTAATTGAATCATTGGGGTGGTTTTCCCCATGCTGTTCTCATGATAGTGAGTGAATTCTCACAAGATCTGATAGTTTTATAAGGGGCTCTTCGATTGGCACTTCTCCTTCCTACTGCCTTGTGAAGAAGGTGTCTTGCTTCCTCTTCACTTTCTGCCATGATTGTAAGTTTCTCCCCAGTCATGCTGAACTGAGTCAATTAAACCTGTTTCCTTTATAAATTACCCAGTCTTGGGCAGTTCTTTATAGCAGTATGGAAATGGACTAATACAGCTGATGTTTAAGAAGTTCTACAATCCATGTATTTTTATTATGGGGAACTGAGTTCCCCACAGTTAGGTGTTCTAGCTGTGAACAGTTTTCTTCTATATGCAAGTCTTTTTAAATCTCTTTTTCTTGTTTATTGATTTCAATGGTTGCAGTTTTGGTACTGTTCCAACTTTTAGATGAATAGTGGAAGTAGATTTCTAAAGTTCTAGTCTGCTGAAAGGAATTAGAACTTATATATATATTTTTTTTAACCCGGGGGAATTTTTAAATGATCTGGTATGTCATTGCATCTTAATACTGTTGTGAATAAATAAAACATTTTTTAAAAGTCTATTTTGGCAGCAATAGCAAGATTCATTACTAACAAACTGGTCTTCATTCAGAAAATAAATGATATTTCAATTAGCAATTAGGGCTGATTTGTGAATACCAAAGTCAATAAATAGTCCTTCCTCCTTATTTTAAAAAAAGGTAAGGATGTGAAAATAACTGAGATGAGACAGGCACTTTGTTTTTTCCCAAATGTTGAGTACCAAAGCTCATTAGAGTATCATTCAATAAGTAAAAAGTGGGAAAAGTATCTTGGCAGAGAAATTTACTTTTATAGGAATGATGCATTTGATATTTTAAATTATTGCTAAATGGTTTAGGAATCTTGTGAAATAATAGCAAGTATTTATTCAAATGTATAAAATCAGGAGACCAGTTCTGCCATACTGCCTGTACTTGTGTTTGGATGGATGAGTACTTTTCTGGGACTGGTTTTTAGTTCACAATAATGATGATGATGCTGAGAGATTCAATCAGATTAGCCTGATTTAGAATAGTAAATCACAAGGATAAAGAGGGTGTAAAGTTGCCAGATGCTTAAAACAAGCTGTAGAGGTACCATTCTCCCTGCTTAAATCTGAATAATTTCTTTGTTTCTACACACGCACCACCCATACACACAATTTACCTTGATTTCATGAGAAAGATGGCTCCATTTGGAATAATGGTATTTCTAGTCCAAAAATAAATTCTTTTAATATCAGAATCTATTATTATTTTCAACTTTAAGAAACAAGTGGTAAAAATACCTGTTTATACATGCTTAAGGTCCAAATAATTATCTTTGTCCAACTCAACTTGATTTTGATTATTCAGCACATCAAACCACACGTTAAAATTTTAAATTATATAAAATTTAAATTAAAATAATTAAATTTAAATTATATAAAATTTAAATTAAAATAATTAAATTTAAATTATATCTATTATCTGTCTGTCTGTCTGCCTGTCTATCTATCCATCATCTATCTACCTACTTACTTATCAGGTAATTATGTGTGGCAAGAAGAAAACTTGAGCTGAGTGAGACAAGGTGAAGGACAGTGCAGTTTCAGATAGGTAGATTATGAAAGGCCTCTCAATTGAGGTGACATTTGAGCACATACTTGACAGAAGTGAGAATGCATTATCTATAAAGATATCTGAGAAGAGCCATTGCATCTCAAGGACTTTTAAGATAATTAAATTTAAATTCAAAATAATTTAAATTCAATTCAATTTAAATTTTGTCTTTCAATTCTTTTTAAAAATTATTTTGAAGGCCTCTTCCAAAAAAATGATCATTGGCTATTTTTGAAAAAAAAAAAAAAAAAAGAATGGCTTGCTATGTGCTTTTTTTTTTTTTTGAGACAGAGTCTTACTCTGTCGCCCAGGCTGGAGTGCAGTGGCGTGATCTCGGCTCACTGCAAGCTCCGCCTCCCGGGTTCACGCCATTCTCCTGCCTCAGCCTCCTGAGTAGCTGGAACTACAGATGCCCACCACCACACCCGGCTAATTTTTTGTATTTTTAGTAAAGTCGAGGTTTCACCGTGTTAGCCAGGATGGCCTCGATCTCCTGCCCTCGTGATCTGCCCCCCTTGGCCTCCCAAAGTGTTGGGATTACAGGCGTGAGCCTCTGCGCCCGGCCGCTATGTGCTTTTTCGTAGGTTGCTTTAAAAACATTTCATTTTTAATCAAGCTTGTTTTAATCTATATGAATATATATATATTTTATTATACAATATCAACCGCACTTGCCAATCATACAATCAAGGATAACTTAATATTTTTGGTGTACAAAAAATAAAAGAAAAAAAGTAGAACTTGCACTTTCGTAGAGAGCTACAAAGGAGCCAGAGTTCTACATGGCACCTAAATCTCCACCACAATTAATAAGACAGATTAGAAAGTGAAAATCAAAATAATAAAATAAATAAATGAAAGGAAATATATATTGGAATATTTATAGGTAAAACTTAACTAGAAAGTAAACAAATATCTTAGGATAGAAAAGATAAAATGGGCTGGGCGTGGTGGCTCACGCCTGTAATCCCAGCACTTTGGGAGGCCAAGGTGGATGGATCACGAGGTCAGGAGATCGAGACCATCCTGGCCAACATGGTGAAACCATGTCTCTACTAAAAATACAAAAATTAGCCAGTTGTGGTGGTGCATGCCTGTAATCCCAGCTACTCAGGAGGCTGAGGCAGGAGAATCGCTTGAACCCAGGAGGCGGAGGTTGCAGTGAGCCAAGATGGCAACACTGCACTCCACCCTGGCGACAGAGCTAGACTCCGTCAAAAAATTAATAAATAAATAATAATAATAAAATAAAATAAAATTGAGAGATTATTAGAGAGTATTTAATTTTGTTTCTTTGGAAAAGTAACATGTCCATAATAAATAATTCAAACAGCAATGAAATAAAAAAATAGAAAGCAAGTCAACTTCCCACAGTTGATCTTAGTTCTCCAGTCCTTGCTAGAGGCAATATCATTCCAGGAATTATTTACACAAATGCAGAAAAACAGTACATACATAACTGAGTTAAACACATTCAGAAGCACACTTTCATTAGTTTCATTAATTTTGTATCTTGAGTTACTTAAGCATATATCTTGGAGATAGTTCCATTTCTGCAGTTAGAAATATACTTCTTTTTGTCTTGCTTTCCTTTAACTTTATTTGTGTGAACAGGTAATCGAGGCAATGTCATAGAATTCAAAAGTTGCAAAAATTATAAAGCATAAAGTTGACTGCCCATTCTCCAGCATCCAGTCTTGTTTATTAGCAACAATCATGTGACCAATTTCTTGGTTATCTTTACAGAGATTTGCCAGATATTTCATTGAGTTACAAGCACATGCCCCGTCCAGCACACACACACACACACACCCATGCACACACATAAATTAAAGGTTGCTTCTTTTCCAACGTAATTACTATGTTTTATTTAAAATATTACCTTGTTTTGTACTTCTCTTTTTTTTTTATGAGGGAGGCTGAGTATTTTCACATTTTTAGGCCAATTGCTTTTCTATTTCTGTGAACTGTCTTCCTTTGTGTCTCCCATGTTTCTCTTGGGCTGTTAGTCATTTTTCATATTGATTGGGTAGAAATACTATATGTTGAGGTAATTTGCTGTATGTCTGTGATTTTCAGATGTCATGTGTTTTTGATTTTGCTTATTGTATATTTCCCATCACATAATTTTTATGCATTCAAATTTATCAAACTTTTTAAATGACTTCTGCCTTGGATTTGGGTTATTTAATAATCTGAAATTTAACTTGTAATCAAGTGTGTTATAAGAACCCATTTTTCCCAGATAGTCAGTTGTCCCAACACCATTTGTAGAATAATTTATTTTTAATATATATTTGAAATGTCAACTTTATTATATTCTGTGTTCTCAGATGTATTGAAGACTATCTCTTGGTTTCTATTTTAATCTTTGAATTTTCAGTTCTTCCATGAGTCAATGCCACATTTATTTATTCTGGATAAATAATATTTAATATCTAGTAAATATATTAATATATCAATAATACTTAATGTCCAAAATATTATTAAGGGTATTAAAGATATTAGTAATACTTAATATCTTTACTAATATTAGTAATACTTAATATTAGTAAAGTAATATCTTTACTAATATCTAGATATTAGTAAAGATATTAAGTATTACTAATATCTTTATTAATACCCTTATTACATTTTAAGAATTTTCTTTGCTCTTCTTGTATGGGTGATATGGTTTGGTTCTGTGTCTTCACCCAAATCTCATGTCAAATTGTCAAATCCCCACGTTTTGAAGGAGGGACCCGGTGGGAGGTGACTGGATCATGGGGGCGGTTTCCCGATGCTGTTTTCATGATGGTGAATGAGTTCTCACGAGAACTGATGGCTTAAAAGTATGTGGCAGTTCTCTCTCTCTCTGTACCCTACTCTGCCATGCTAAGATGTGCTTGCTTCCCCTTTGCTTTCTGCCATGATTGTAAGTTTCCTGAGGCCTCTTAGCCATGCTTCTTGCAGAACTGCGAGTCAATTAAACCTCTTTTCTTCAGAAATTACCCTGTCTTAGGTAGTTCTTTATAGCAGTGTTAAAATAGACTAATACAATGGGTATTTTTCCAGGAGAATTTTTTAATTGACTAATATAGTTTTACAAATCATAGATGAGTATAAACATTAGTACAGACATAATAGACACTGATATTTTAGGGGCACTGAATTATATTCATTGATTAACTTAAGCAGCATTGAGAATTTTCTGATTTTTGGTATTTCTTTCTGAGAATAAGATATTTCTTTCATTTAAAAAAACTGTATTTATGTTCAAAATAAGTAATTTAAGATTTTTTCATAGATTTTTTTAAACAAAAAATTCTTATTTACTCTGTTTATCTTTTTGATGTCATTTTATATTTTTTTCTGTCATATTTTAATGGATTGATTGTTATTTATTTGAAAAATCTCTAGCAAACTAATGCAGGAACAGAAAACCAAATACTGTCATGTTCTTTCTTATAAGTGGGAGCTGAACAATGAGAACACATGGACGCGTAGAGGAAAACAACACACTGGGAACTTTTGGAGGGTAGAGGGTGGGAGGAGGCAGAGGATCAGGAAAAATAATTAGTGGGTTCTAGGCTTAATACTTGGGTGATGAAATAATCTGTACAACAAGCTGCCATGACACAAGTTTACCTATATAACAAACCTGCACATGTACCCCTGAACTTAAAATAAAAGTTAAAAAAAAGGGGACAAATAAAATCATCAACATCACATTATTAGATTTTTTTAATAGTAATCATTGTTAATATTAATGGTAGTAGGAGCAGCAGTGATGAGAATATTGATTCTCTTATCTAAGAAATCCAGTAATAACATTTGCAAAGAATGGTAATCTTTGTCCTTTTGCATTTATATGTAGCTAACAGATATTACAAAAATATATATAAAGGCTGGACTCAGTGGCTCACACCTGTAATCCCAGCACTTTGGGAGGCCAAGGCGGGTGGATCACTTGAGGTCAAAAGTTTGAGACCAGGCTGGCCAACAGGGTGAAACCCCATCTCTACTAAAAATACAAAAAATTAACTAGGCGTGGTGGTGTGCACCTGTTGTCCCAGCTACTCAGGAGGCTGAGGCACGAGAATTGCTTGAACCTGGGAGTCAGAGGTTGTCTCAAAAAAACAAAAAACAAAAAAACTATCTATCTATCTATCTATCTATCTATCTATCTGTCTGTCTGTCTGTCTGTCTATCTATATCTATCTATCTATATCTAACAGAAAATACTAAGAGATGTATATGTACCCCTGTGCATATATATAACATATATGTATAATGTATAACATATATTTCTATATATTACCTATATGTAATATATATATATAACATATATATACACACACACAAACATACACGAAATATGTATAAATATAGATGCAAAAATGTTAAAAATGAATTGAGCAGAGTCATGGAAGATAATTACAAAAAAATAGACAATCTTTCTTTCAGAAAAGGCTCATGAAAAGGAACATTAAAGGGAAAAATGAGGCAGTTTATATTGCTGAAAAGTAGTATCCACAAAGTAGTATTCAAAAGTAGAATCCAAAAGTAGTGTTCCTCTTTGGCTTAACGGTTGTTTAAAAGAGATTTTAAATATTTCTGGTGCTCTTGTTTGTTTGTGTGTTATTCATTTCTACTTTAGTTGCATTATGCTCAGAGGATATTGTTTGGTACTATTTTTATTTTAAAATTTATGGAGATTTTTGTGAGGCTTAATACATGGCTAGATTAATGAATAATCTTGGAGAAGCTTTAAAGAAGATATTTTTTTGTTTACAGATTTAACTAATTGTGTAGGCTCTTTGGGTTTTCTCCGTTCTTGCTTTATTTTGTTTATACGATCTGTAACCTACTTACAAAGTACTTACAACTGTCTTTTTAAAAATTATTTCTTATTTTATTTCCTGATATTCCTGCATATGAATATTCATTGCATATTATTTGGGGCATAGATACTTTTAAATATCAGAATTCACTGTGGATATTTCTTTTCAGCAATATGAACTGCCTCATTTTTCCCTTTTAATGTTCCTTTTCATGAATTTAGGCTTTTCTGACAGAAAGATTGTCTATTTTTTTTAAATTATCTTCCATGGCTCTGCTCAATTCTTTCTCATCATTTTTGCATCTACATTTATACATATTTTGTGATATACTCTGAGAACCTTTTTCAGTTTTAGGATGAACTTTCCCTATTTACACTTATTAATATAGGTATTTCTATCCCAAATACATCTCTTATGTCATGCTTTCTGTATCCATTGCTTCTTTTTAAGTCTTTCTGTATAAGGTGTATATTTTTGTCTTTAGGTTCTTTTATATTTTTCCTGAGATTTTGATTTGGTTATTACTTTTACCTTTATATTATTGCTATACAAGGAGTAGCCTCTGAACTATTGCTGGCCTACCAACTGTTGGTTACTGGTTCATACTGAGATGAGTACAAACTATGAAAATATGCATTTAAAAAGTACAGGATTTGACATTGATGCAATATTGACATCCAAGCAGATGATTATTGACGTAGGTAGGTGAACTAGACAGTGTAGACCAGTTGCGATGTTACTGTGCTCATATGAGTCACAGGTAGCAAGACATGCATACTAGTTGTGTTTAGTAGGATTATGATATAATGCATAATACTTTAATTTGCCAACAGTGATGATTGTATAAGTAAACTGGGTAAAATGTAAGAATTCTCAGTAAAAATTAGAAAGTTAGAACAGAATTTCTCCAGATAGTTTTTAAGTATTCCATAATTAACAACAATTACTAATGAAGTAGGTGATTATATTGGTGCTGAACATCTGCAAAAAGTTATTGTCAAGCATTTCATACATTTGACACAATACTTGGATTTTATTTCCAATGAAAAATTTGTATTAGGTCAGATTGGTAATTCATGTAATCATTTATTTTATTGAAAGGTAATTTAAATTTAACTTTTATATTATGTATAATTAGAATGTCTACCAAAAAGGAATTAAAGAGGAATTTTTATTTTTAAAGTGCAAATAAATAAATAAAAATTCTATACAAACACATTTATAAAAATATTTTAAATTAATATTAAAATTATAAAAATAAGTGAAGCATAAATAATTTAAAAGTTATTAAGGCCTCATTTACCTCATTTTAGACAGAGAGTAAATATAAATATTATTAATTTCTTAACATGGCTTTACAATATCTTCTTTATTCCAGGCAATATAACTTTTAAGAATGGTTTCTCTACTATGAGTATTAATAAAGTAATACATAGAAACAGTCTAGTTATACATTATCCATTGTGAGAAACATTATTGTCAATCTAAACCAGAAGAGTTAACAATCAAGAAGCACATTTATATCAAAATGTTAAATATTGAGAAGTATGGTGTTTGCTTAAAGTATGAATTTAATATGAAGAATTACTATACAGTTACAAATTTTTATTTAGTTATAATAAAACATTAGTGTCTAATAGTAATTCATCTATGTATTAGCTATATGGATATAATCGATAAACAATATGTACAGTTTCATTATTATTTTAGTATTTTTGTTATTTATAGTTTTCAGATTATATTTATTAATGTAATTTTATGTCTTTGGAGTATAACAATACAATAGGGGATATGTATTTAGTGTATCTCTTTTTTCTGGTAGTTTTTATTTTGTATTGAGGTATAATTTACAATAAAATTTATCATACTATACATTTCACCTAGTATGAGTGCACTGCTCAACAATTTTTTGGTAAATTTGTATAGTTTTGCAAGCTTCATCACCATCTAGTTTTAGAATACTTTCATGAACCAAAAAAGCTCCCTTGCACTTCTGTGCAGTCAATCCATGCTCGTATGCCCAGCTCCAAGAAAGCACGGGTCTGCTTTCCTTCTTTATAGCTTTGTCTTCTTTAGAAGTTTCATATAAATGTAATCTCACAATGTGTGGTTATTTGTATCCAGTTTTTTTTTTCAACCTAACCTAATAATTTGATCTTTATTTACATTGTAGCATGTATAGGTTGTTTCTTTCTATTGCTGATTTGTATGTTTTTGCATATTCACACAATGAAAAACAATTTTCATTTTATATATCTATTCACCATTTGATGGATATTTAAATTTTTTCCAGTTGTTGGCTATTATGAATAATGCTGCTACAAATATTCACATAAAAGTTTTTTTTCTTCCATTTGAGTCTATACCTAGGAGAAAAATTGCTGTGTCCTGTTGTAAGTACACATTTAATTTTATAAGAGACTCAAACTTTTCTGAAGTGGATATACCTTTTATCTTCCAACCAAAACTGTGTGAGATTTTAGTCTCTCCATATCCTTACCAATTCTGTGTATCATCAATCTTCATTTTAGCCATTCTAGCAGATATGTAGAAGCTCATTGTGGTTTTATTTGCATTTGTGTAAGACTAATGATGCTGAGCATCTTATAATGTAAATCCGTCTATCAATATATGTGTCAGTTGAGAAACCCATTCAGAGTTTAGCCAGTTTTTGACCCCTGTGAAATCAAGTCTTCTGATTTGGGCCCTGAGCTGGTAAAACTACTGTTGTCAGCTGCTGGGGGCAGAGGTATGAATGTATCCAGGAAAGAATGTCAGAGATTTCTGCCATTCTTATCTGAAGCTGTAACAATTTTTCTAGAATAAACACTTTGCAAGTTGTTGTCTATATTACATCAATTTTCAGAGCCTATTAAATGGCTACTTTGACAATCTTATTCAATTTTATACCTGTTCTTCTTCATACAAACACAGCTAGAAGGATCACATTTGGTTATTAATTTTTAGTATGTAAAAGTATCAGTTTGTGATGGACTGGAAATTTTAAAAAGGAAGAAAAAAAACCCTGCTCTTCACCACAGATAGCTTGAAAAGCACTGCTTCTTATTAATCAAATCTTTTTCCTTTATATAGAATTTATTTATTCCCTACTGTGATTAATAGCATAATTGGTTACTTTAATTTTTCTTCATTCTCTCCCTTCTACACTTGATTTAAGTAAATTATATCATTTTCCCAGTATTTAATTTTGTAGATTTAAATTAATATACAGATGCTTTTATTACCCCTTTACCAACTATAAATATTAATCTAAAACCCAGACACGAGACATGACAAAATTGGTCTACTTAAACTTCCACTTGTCTCTTTCTCAGTTCATTTTTCAAAATTTTGTTAATTATAAAATGTCTATATCATCAACATTCATATCATTTACAATATCTTCTGTAATCTTTATCTCATCTGCTTTAATATGAGACCTAAAGTAAAATAGATTCAATGATCTCTACCAGATTGATTTTTTTTTGTGGTTTCCTCAACATTTTGTTAGTTGAAATAAATATCAAGCTCTTCTTCAATTGCTTCTTCAAGCAATTCCTGCAGAGGAATTCATGAAAATAGATTATGTGAGTCTTTGCATGTTCTTTTATTTGTCTGTTACCCACAGAAGAGAATGACCAAATTTTGAAGCCACACCTTCCTTTATGACTTTGTAGGTATTATTCCTACTAGCATTGAATATTACTCAAATAAAAGGGTGTGCTGACTTTTTTTCCTCCTTTTGGTAGCTTGATTTATATATCTGGATATCCAAAAACTTTACTAGGGTATGTTTCAGTGTTGACCACTCTGTGTCATTTTTTTTGTGTGCATGTGGCATGGAGTGCCTTTTTAACCTATTGATTAAAGAATTCTCTTAAAAGTGTTTTCATTAAATTTCATTTTCTCATTTTTGTTTTGTACACTATTATAGTTCTTCTATTTGGGAAACCAGATAGGCATATGATGGTCTCTTTTGGCTTATCTTCCTTAATATTTATTTTGTAGTCATCATTATTGTTTTTTTCATTTTCATTTTACTTCATTTACCTTTTTAAGTACTGTTTTTTATGTTCTTCATTCTATTTTCAGTGGTATCTACTGTGTCTTGAGCCCTTTCAGTTATATATTACATTTCTTTCTCTTTTTCCACTCTTTCTCTTTTTCTAATTTTTTACTGAGTTATGCTAACTTAAATTTCATCTCCTTCTACTTCCCTCCATTGCAACTCTGAGCAATTACATCTCTGGTTTTACTCTTTGTTATAGAAACAGTTATTTCTTAATTTTGTAAATTTATGGAGATGATTTAGTCAAACTTCTGTTCTATGATGAAAATTTTCTGGTGAGTGTTCTTCTTCTGCTCTTTCTCTGCGTTGGTTTCATCTGAGAGACAGATAGATCCCCACACAAAATTTTGTTCTGATATTCAGACTGATGAGGCTACCCATGCAAAAGGGTGTGAAAAATTTATTATTTACATAGCTCAGGTCTCTGGGGGAAAGCAGAGCAAGCCTCTTGGCAGGTCCAAAATAACTTCAGATAGCAGAGAAAGAGATTGGCTCTGAGCTTTATTGTGAATGGGGAGTGGGTCCATTGTGAGAGTTCCCGTACACAGGCAGGAGTTTACATGATTTGGATTTTCTGCCAGTGTCAAAGGAGGGAACACTAGGCTTTCTTATCAGCTTTCCTGATGTGGGGAACAATGCAAAGGGGGAGGGAAAAGGCTTTTAAAATTTGTGGGCAGTCAAAGAAAAATTGAGTCATACTCTTCATTATACCCTGTTGCACTGACAGTGTGATCCTGCAAATAAGGATTAACTATGTGCTTTCATGTGGAACTCCTCTTTGCAGCATGTTTGCTAAATGGGTTCTTCTACCTTCAAGTTCACTCTACTTATATTTTTGCAAATGAAATGTTGGTGATTTTGTATTTCATTATGTACTACGGCTCACTCAAGTAAATCTGCCAGCGTTTTCGTAGATCTGTAGGGGTAGATATTCTCTCTCCACATCTTCCCACACTCCTTTTAATCTTCCCTGTTTAGCAGCCTTTGTTGTTTATTTCTCAGTGCTTTGTCTCTTAAAGTAATCAGAGTTGGAGGTATGTCTATATATTTTATTCCATTCATTACATGTTGGTGATTTCAATGAAGAGAAGTAAAGGAAGATGGCTTTATTCTACCATTTTAAATTT
The DNA here is from genome assembly GCF_000001405.40 of Homo sapiens. Classification (NCBI taxonomy): domain Eukaryota; kingdom Metazoa; phylum Chordata; class Mammalia; order Primates; family Hominidae; genus Homo; species Homo sapiens. The sequence continues at coordinate 97,798,767 of NC_000005.10, forward strand.
GGAAGTCCAATTTATTTCTCTTATTCTTTTGATAGCATCATTTTATTAAAGTATAGCATATAGCATATTTTATTTGATTGTTATCCTATTGATTATTATTCTTTCTAGCCTTTCTACTAGCAAGTGAAGCAAACAATTATCTTTAGCTTTGTAGCACAGATAGCTTTATACATATAATACTTGCAGGTACATACTTCCTAAATATTAATGTAGAAATAAATTCTGAAGTAGAATTGCTCAAAGAAATTTTACATCTTAGAAGTTATTGGAAAACTGCTTCCCAGAAAAATTGTTCCAATTTTTACTTTGATATTTGTTTTGAATAAGTCCTTAAAGTTCTTAAAAATGAGAGCTGCAAGCAGCTTAAGAGGGAGATTTGGGGCCTCTTCCTTAGGTTCACATGTGCTTGCTAAAGTCACTAGTTAGAAAAATAAGATACATGACTATTTTTGTACCCCTTTTTCACAAAGTTGATTGTATTGGTTACATAAAGGAAATGACAACTACTTTTCATTTTTAAAGAACACTATGGTTTGCTATGTGGAAAATAATGTATAAAATATAAGTTGTGCAAGAAATAATGGTTATCTGGAGTAAGGTGGTAGCACTGGAGACACTGAAAAGTAACAAATATAATATATTTTATTGAATATGTATGATTCACTGATTACTGGCTGAATGTTTTATCTAATTTAACTCATATAACTCTGTGGAACAGTTTTTACTATCCTCAATTTTCAGATAAGAAACCTGAGTCACAAAAAAATGATAAAACTTTCTTTCCCAAGATTGTTTAATAAAAGTGCAAGCTGAATTTTTACCCCTAACCAGCCTGACTAACCAGTCTGTTTGTTTTTGTTTTCGGCTTTTTTGGAGCATCAAAATCTCATCATTTAAAACAAAATATAGAACAAACAAAAAATATGCATTGTAGTGAAGGTAGATATAAACACAAATCATCCATGACAACCCAGTATAAACAATGCATCATTTCAATATATATTTTTACACAATCTCTTTGTATTTTTGTTTTTGTTACATAAATGTTTTTCTCTCATATCAGATTTATAACTTCAAGTTTTACCTATAATTTTAAAACAGGCAGTTTCCAATATCACTGAAAATTTTTTGCGAAACTCAACAAATAAAAAAATTATGTATATATATTCAAGGCAATAATATTTAAAAATTCTTAAAATGAAGCAAACACCAAATTTACATATCAAAAAGCAAAGTCAAATTCCAGGAACTGTTGACTTAGAATACTCAATAATAGTATTGATACATTCTTTGTAAGTTATTGCAATTCAAATGAAAACCAAGGATTCTTCAAATAGAAAATATCTAGAGGCCTGTAAAGAAGAAAAATGCCCAGTTGGCCTTAGATTTTTAAACATAAGTATTCAGTGACACATAAGACAATTGGGATATATCTGAATAAATATATACCCACAACTATGTACAATTATTTCACAACAATATATTCTTGAAGTTCAGACACTACAGATATACATTGTCAATCATGAAAGAACTAATATAATAATGGACTCATGGCTCCCTTTCAAAGGACATTCAGATAAGAGATGAATTTAAATAAAGATCTCAGTAATGAAGGCTTAGAAAAGCACTCATGGCGAGCATTGAATTTACTTAGGTCTAAACAACTGTGATGGAATAGTTACAAAATAGGATATAAATTAAATAAACCTCAATAATGAAACTAATAAAAATGAGGATGGGAAAAAGTTGATGATAGTATGAAAGTGTTAATTCTCGGATCTTTTATTTTAAAAAGTCAATATATACTATCCACGTTTTAAATATGTAATATAAAAACATTTATCCTCTTAATTTTTATAATATGTCTTCTAAATCAAGAGTGTTTTATTTTAAGATGGCAGTATATCTTATGGGGTTTAGTATTTCCTTCAGTTTCACTTCAAAATTTTCCTTTCTACTTAATTCAAGTAAAATTATATTTTAATTTAAAATAACTTGTATAATATTTTATCTTAGCATCTATTTCTCTGTCTATATACCTACCTTTCTAGAATTAATAATGTGTGTGTGAGTGGTTTATTTTGTGGTATTTATATTGTATATTTTTTGGAATTTCCTATCTAGATTGGCCTTTTATAATGAACTATATTATTTTCCTAATAATATTATTATTTTATAAAACAGGCATTAGAAGTAAAAAAATTGAAAGCAGTATTTTTAATGACTGTATAGTCACTGTCAAAAGAATGAATTATGTTTTATTTAACCAGTAGGCAATAATATACAATTTATGTTATTTCCAGTTTTCATGTATTTATTCATTCACCCAGGAATTATTTCAGTATAGTTGGGAAATAGTCATTGTAGTACTTAGCTATTGCTACAATGATGCTGTTAACAACCCACCCCCAAACTGAGAGGTTTAAAGCCAAATCATTATTTTTTTTTCCTGCACAAGTTTCTAGGTTGGCTCTGACTTTACTGACTATGACTGCAAAATGCATATTGGATGCAGTTCTGCTTCAAGTATATTATCTGTTTCTATCCAGTGCCCACTCTTCTCATAGTAAATGACAGAAGAGCACAAACAAAACATCTCAAGAAAACAGGTGGATTCTTCCTGGACTTGACTCAGAAATGTGCCAGATTCTATTATCCTAAACAATTCACATGAAAGCCCAGCATCAATACAGCAGGGAAGTATCCTCTGCATCACTGAGGAGGGTAATAAATATTTACTGGCAAAAGAATCCAATCTATTACAGTCATTAGTCAAATATTCAAACTAGTGAATGTATAACTACAGCTCAGTGTTATTCTGGGGTTAAGAGAATGTTTTCTGAAGCTGGCATCTTGCTGACAGTAAATAGGATTTCAATAGGCAATTGTGGGGGTGGGGATGAAAGAGTGTTTAACCAAAGGAAACATTATCTTAAAAGACATGCAGAGGAGCATGATGTGCTGAAGTGACATGCTCTCATATGGCTAGAGCTTAGAGAAAGAGGGAGAAAGTGACAATATGATTGTAAGTCAACTTCTCAGGGGAGAAAAATATCAATCCTCAGAAAGCCAGTTTGTCAAATGACAAATGTGTTGGAAGGTAATTTGCTGAAAATCAGTATTTGCCTAATTATGAAGTCACAATTTTAAAAATTTCAAGCAGGGCTTTATGGCAGTTTGTATTACATGATGGCTCCTATAAACTTTGAAGATATTTTAAACATTTGCATTTTACTTATATTATTAATGTATTACTGTTATTGACGCAATATTTTTCTCTCAGTCATGTTGCAAACTGGGGACCTCCAGCTGGCAACGCCCCACGTGGGCCTTGCTTGGCCATGCTACCTGCCGCAGGAGACAGCCCACCCACTTGGCCTGCCTGGGCCAAGTCTGGCTTGAATACTGGTTCCCAAGTTCTTTTCTAGTGTCCAAGATGAAAGAGGATATGCTAACAATTGAGGAGTGAGCAAGGTGGGGCACTCTTTTGAGTGACGAAGCAGCTTTCCATGGAGAGGAGACCCGAGGGTTGTCCCCTACCCTAAGGTGGGAAAGTCCCCCCAATGTGGCTGAGTTTGGGGCTTTTATGGGCTCAGAATAGGGGAAGGGCAGGCTGTAGGTAGTATTAGAAAAGGCAAAATTTGATTGCTTAAAAGGCATTATTCAGATATAATCAGTTGGGAAAGGACAGGCAAACAGGAACAGAAGTTCTCACTCTTGGTCATGGGTTTCATCCGGGACCAGCAGTTCACTCAGCCTTCAGGTTGTTTTTTTGGCTTGAAGATGGGTTTTCAGCAGGGATCTGCCCCTATATTCCTAGGCATCTGGCTGCCTCCTATGGCTATCATTTCCCCCCTCTGAAGAGGTACATCTAACTGCCATTAGAATGGGGATGAAGACTGATCTTAACTGCTTTCTGCTGACAGGGGGTGCTGTTTTGGGAAAACCGCAGTCCGATTTCCCTCAGAGGCTTATCTAAGGCTCCCCAGTAAAAGGAAGTCATCATCCAAGGCTCTGGTTGTATGACCATTTGGAATATAAAGACCTGAAGATGAGAAGAGACAAACCAAGTTATTAGAAGACATGTATCAAAATGGAACAAGGGGGTAACAACAGCTCAAAAAATCTGAGGCTGCCAATACACCCAGATAACTGGTGGCTACAGTTATGCCTGCTAACACTTGGGTGCATTGTCCTTGGCTTTGGTTAGCTCTGTTGGTCTTATTTTCCCAAACAAAAAAATTTCCAGGTTATAGACACCCTATTTACTTCTATTACCTGGAAGGATTTGCAGAATAATTGCCCAGAACTAGAATATTGATCCAGAATTTTACATTATCCATTCCTTTTGTTTCTTCTGAGCTGTTTCTTCTGAGATCACTGGTTAGTTCACAGAAATAAGCAGGCTTATTCTAAAAGGTAGGCAAAAACTTAAAAACAGCTAATGAGACTAGAATTTAATGACAAGTGTATGGTGAGTTTTCAAACATAATTTTTCTCTCTGCAGACTTCATTTTTGTTAAAAATAAATCATGATAGGACTGAGTTGTTTGCAAAATAAACTTTAGTCTTATACTTTTGTCCTGATTATTTGCATAAAGTGCAGCAAGAATAATTGTTTTTCACATGGGCTTTTAAAATTGGCTTTGATAGGACATGTTCCACAAGGAATTTCAGATAAGACCTTTTAAAGCTGAGCCCAGCCATGGGTTTTTACACTAAAATACCTGTGAGTTGGGTAAATTCCTCTCTTCTTGAGGTCCCAAGAACATGGGGCTCCTGGGTATGTTATAAAGTGACATTCTTTACTCACCACAGCTTAGAGACCGTGTATAGAGACTGTATAGAGACAAGTATGAGGCCAGTTTTCCCAAACGGTTTTTATAGACTCAGCAAGGCAAGCTTGATTCCTTAAAGAAAGGCCTACACTTCCAGTCAAAGCCTTGGTAAAACAATAAGCCTCTCCAATTGTGTTCCGTTGTGAAAGAAAATGGACTTTTATTGCACTGATGCAAATAGCTATATTGCCATAAGTTTAGAATACTCACAAATAGTTTCCAAATTCTAGAGAAACCAAGCAGAGAGAAACAAATATGCTCCAAATGTTGTTCACAGGAGTATAGTTTACTCAACTGTTAAAACTGTTGATAGCTCAAAAGTTTCCTTGACTCTGAAAAACAAAACAAGGGCCAGCAATGTTTTAAGGAACAGCTGAAAAAGATTACTTTAGTTTTCTATTAGTTCAGTCCATTCCATTAACACTTGATGTGCTTGATATTCACAAACATATCAGCTCTTCATGAGTTCTGTACGTTTTTCCTCCGTTCCAATGTCACAATCTCCAAAGTTATCAGGAACCTGCATTTGAGAACACCTGTCAAAGTCCTATAGCTGATTATAAACCATCTCTTGAAAAGGATCAAAACAACAATTGTTTGTGAATGACAAATGTCTTCAGGTAGTCACAGTCAAAACCACTATTGACAAAGAAAAGTGGTTATTTCTGTGCTTTACAATAACTTAACATAATAACATTAATTATAGTTGATAGCATATACTCAGACGTTAGAATTTTAGAAATCCAATACAATTCTGGAATATATATTAATATTTTTCACTATTTTTATTTTTCCAATTCCATGTAGCTAAACATGTAAAATAATCATGTTTACCTCTCTTTTGGATGCTCCAGGGGCCCTCTGTAGTAATTAAAAGTTAGAGGTCAGAAAAGGCAATTTTTGAAGCTGAAATTTGATCTTGGGAAGTGTCCTAAATATGTTAGAGGTTTAAAACACTTGATATTATGAAACAGAATTCCAAATTACCATAAGTCATTTATTTAATATTTAGCCAAAACTTTGAGTTAAAAATTTTTAAACAGGCAAAAACCTTTACTTATTAAGAGTGCAGATGTAGTTTTCCAAACAATCTCCTGTCTTCTCCCTGTTTTTTTGGTAGTTTATTCACAAGGCAAACAGAGATTTTTATCATCCTTTACTATTACATGAAAATCTTGTCCAAGGGAGAGAAAGCCAAATTTTATCATGCATTAGTCTAATATTAATGACAACCCCAATTTTTTAAATGAAATCTTATAGATAATTCTATCCAATCTTAACCAGTTTGACCATGAGGTGACATTCTTCTAAAGCTTTTTTTTTTTTTTGAGACAGAGTTTCACTCTTGTTGACTAGAATGGAGTGCAACAGTGCAATCTCAGCTCACTGCAACCTCTACCTCCAGGGTTCAAGCAATTCTCCTGCCTCAGCCTCCCAAGTAGCTGTGATTACAGGCACCTGCCACCACGCCTGGCTAATTTTTTGTATTTAGTAAAGATGGGGTTTCACCATGTTGGTCAGGCTGGTCTTGAACTCCTTACTTCAGGTGATCCACTCACCTCGATTCCCCAAAGTGCTGTGATTACAGACATGAGCCATTGCATGCAGCCAAAACTTTTATAATTCTTTACAAATTTTTGTTAAAGAGCAGATCACTGCCTTAAGAAAACCTTACTGTGTTTTTATTTCAATGCTCAATTAATGGAAAAATTATATAATAGCCTTTTGAATTTAATCAATATGTTCACACACAGGGTTTCTTTCACAAGATTAATTTTTATAAACCTTCCACCACTTGTTTAAACTTTTAGCTTTATCTTACTTGATTTATATCAATACTTGAACCCTCTAAACTAGGCAAAATTTTATATTCCTATACCTACTTATAATCTTTTACTAAAAACACATTTCACTTTCCTTTATATACCTTGCATGTAAATCTATTTTCAGTAGTCTCAATTACATGTTATAATGATAACTCTTGGCAATTTTTAAATTTTAATGTAAAACCTGGTAAGTTATTTTAATTATGTAGTAGCTGCAGCTAAGGTCTGACTCTTTCCAGCATAGTTAGGGGTGTGGTTATTTCCATATGTCCCCTGACCTTGCCAAACTGTAAAGCAGACAAGTTGAACGATTTTCAAAAGCCAAAGAAGCAGTTTATAACCTTAAAGCATTTAGCAAACTTAGTATCTGACCTGCATAATTTAGACTGCATATTTACATTTTGAAGGCATCTGTATTTTACCAATAATCTTTAAAATTTCTCAAAGATTAAAGTTACATGAACTAAAAGGTATATAGCTTTTATTTTTCCTTCAAAAATCATTTGATCTCAGCACTTATTTTTCTCCAAGCCAATTAATTAGAGCTCTTTTCTATATAATCATCACAGTGTATATAACTATACAGACAGAAAAAGATCCAGTGGTTTTAAGATTTTTTTATTTGCCAATCTCTTAATTAGTTTATTGGCCTCAGGATGGAGCCCTTCAAGAGCAGGTCTAGGAAAGCATGCAGTAGAAATAGCTGGAAGACAAAAACAGATTTTGGGAGGGATTTATCCACTTTTAATTCTTGGGGTTCCATAAGGAAATAGAGATTTTTTTTTCCAAAATGGGGTCAGTGGTGCCTCCTCCATTTTTCCCAGGGAGTCCCAGGCTACCAGAAGTTATCTTAGGGCCTTTCATGCATGCATTAAGAGTGGCAAGACAAAATGGGGAAAAATAATTCAGTCAACTGAGGGGGGAAACAAAAACATTTTCCAGTGAAACAAGATCCAAGAAGAGGGGGAAAAAAAAAAACCATAAAGACCTTTTAAATATACTTATAGCTTGGATATCCACTTTTAATTAAGCTGACTTTTAACCACAGTGCTCTTTAAAAAAAAATCCTTTTAAACCCCTTGTTACCCAACTTTAGTCATGCCAAGTGGCCAATATTTAAGGCTTTTGAACTTTACCAAAAGAAATCTCACAAGTGAAACCAACAAGCGTTAACTAAGGATATGATTTAACCATAAGTGTACAAGGTATTTAGAAAGAGGTGTTAGGCAGTTTTTACAAAATCTAGAATCTTTAAAGGTATCTCAGAGAAAGGCAGATTTAAGAAAGGAAACTAGAAGTTGTTCATGGAGGAGAAGAGAATCAGAAATGATAAAACTCACACAGATAGTAACCAGGAAGTGCTCATTCCCTAAGCCAGGATTGAAACCAGGCTGCCATTGTAAAATGGCAGAGACCAAAAGAAAGTACTGCCATGTAGTTACATGGTCAAGCTCCCAAGGACATAAAACAAGATGGAGATGTCCAGCAAAGTTTATTACTGACCAATTTGTTGGGCTGGCTTGAACAATCGGCTTAAGGGTCCTAGGCCTGTGTTCTAGCCTAAGGTGTTTCTATTTTTGACAGAAAGATAAATTCTTAGCACAAAGTACAACAGATTCACTACAGCTTAAGACTAGCCTCACAAATCCTTTTTTCTATTCATCAAAACCTTACAGAGAGTATAAACAGTAATTTTTGTCATTCATTCTACCTGTTTGCACAGGGAGAGGGAGGCCAGAAGTCTGACTGGTAAAACTTTTACCTTTTTGCCAGCATGTCAGGCTTCCGGATTCCCTTCCCCTGAGCTATGGAGCCTAATCTACCTTGGAGTCCTGTGAAGGGGAAGCAGACAAAGGTTATTTGGATACTGTAAAAGTTGTCCCTCTTCAAGAGATTCTCTCAATTAGATCTGTAATTTCTTCCTGGTTCATTTTTAAGACAAACAGTTTAAGTTTTGGGAAAATTAACTTTTCCTAGTTTGGGGGATGCATTTGAGGGGAGGGTCCATGGTATGGGGAAGCAATTACTTTTTCATGAAGAGAGAACAGAGGAGGAAAAAGGAAACAGAAGGCATTTTTTTTTTCAAAGGAGTCCCAGCAATTCAGGACACATTCAAGAAAAGTAGAAACTGAAGATGGTTGGTTACCCATATGGAAAGAGGGGGACAATGCATCCCTTAGTTCCGTTCTCTTCTCAGCAAATACCCAGCATACATATGGGAGAGGAAACAATGGCATCTTTTTTTTTTTTCCTTCCATCCTTATATCCCTGAGTCCCAGCGACCTTGGCAGGCCCATGTGCCAGTGCAACTTTCACCCTTGTGGAACAGGGAGGCCTAGAGGGTAGCAATTATCCACACTTACCTATATGCTGTCCTGTCCTCCCTGCTGTTGGTAACCTCTTCTATGTCATGCATGCTAGCTTGACCTCTATTGATGAAATGTGTGTGTGTGGGTGCCTAATCGGCAGGAATTAGTCATGCTCACCTGTGTTGCGCTTCTTGGCTTCTGTTGCTGTCTGCCTCTGGATCCCTGAAATCCAGGTTTTCTTTCTAGGGCTTCAACCTGAAGTTTGGAATTGGTTTTAGGACAAATAACTGTGTCAGGAAGGTTCATGGACTCATTAGATTAAGTCTCATGCGGTCTTCACCAGACTGCAGCCAGCAGCTGACAGAGCTGCCCCTTCACTGCTTCCCATCAAAAGTCCAATGCTAAGTTAAAGCTGTGGAACTGGGTTCTCCTCAAACAAGGCAGAGAAAGGGAGAATTGGGGTCCTGGCCTCCTAAGATGCCTTTCAAAAAGAAAAAAGCCTCTCACATAGAAAGGATCCCTTTGTTTGCAGGGCTGTGTTAACTCCTGACATGGTGAAGAAAAGAAAAAAACAACTTAAGTGCAGGGTGGGGAAGGTGCCTGAGGGAAAATTCCTTTTGCTCTATGCAAATAGGTTCTTCCAACAGGGAGAGAAACTTTATTGATTGATTGATTGATTTTTTGAGACAAAATCTCCCTCTGTGGCCCAGGCTGGAGTGCAGTTGCGGGATCTCGGCTCACTGCAAGCTCCGCCTCCCGGGTTCAGGCCATTCTCCTTCCTCAGCCTCCCAAGTAGCTGTGACTACAGACATCCGCCACCAGGCCCGGCTAATTTTTTGTATTTTTAGTAGAGATGGGTTTCACCATGTTAGCCAGGATGGTCTCAATCTCCTGACCTTGTGATCTGCCTGCCTCAGCCTTCCAAAGTGCTGGGATTACAGGTGTGAGCCACCGCGCATGGCCGGGAGAGAAACTTCTAATCTCTGCTTTCTCTTTGCCTCCAAGAATAGGCAGAAACTGCATTGTTCTGAATTGCATATCTGATGGCTGGGCCAAATGTTCATTCCACCAAGTAATAACTCCTAGTTTGCAACAACATTCTTGACATTGTAAAAGAAGAGATAGGTGCCATGACAGCCATGATAAAAAAGAAGGAGAATGCCATAGAAATGACTGGATTGGAACTATGCCTACATTCCCAACCCCCTAGTAGTGACAAGTGAGGTGTCGGGGTCCTCTCTAGCATCCTGTCCTCTGTAGCTGCACCATTCATTCTTAATTGGCTCACCAGAGGTTTATTGCTTCATCTGCCTTCAGAAAAAAGTCTGAGGACAAGAAATCTTATAAAAAAGAGTCTAGGTCTGCATTTACTCACCCTTCAGGGATCCCGAGTGAGCCCCCAAAATGAGGCAGGCTTTTTCTCTTGGTCACTTTGCAAGCCGGAACCTCTGGCCAGTGACACTCTGCCCAGGCCTCCTTTGGACATGCTACCTGTTGCAGGAGATGGCCCTCCCACTCAACCTGCACGGGCCAAGTCTGACTTTGAAACCAGTCCCTGAGTTTTTGTCCAGTTTTCAAGAAGAATGAAGATATGCTGACAATTGAAGAGTGATTAAGGTGGGGAGCTCTATTGAGTGATGAAACAGCTTTCCACAGAGAGGGGGCATAGGGGTGCTCCCCCTACCCGAAAGTGGGAAAGTCCCCCCAGTGTGGCTGAGTCCAGGGCTTTCATGGGCTCAGAATAAGGGAGGAACAGGCCATAGATAATATTGGAAAAGGCAATATTTGATTGGTTAAAAGGCATTATTCAGAAAGAATTAATAGGAAAAGCGCAAGCAAACAGGAACAGTTCTCACTCTGGGTCATGGATTTTATCCTGAACCAGCAGTTCAGTTTTTCAGCCTTCAGGCTGTTTTTTAGGCTGGAAGGTGGGGTTTCACTGGGGACCCACCCCATCTGCTTAGGCATTTGGCTGCCTCCTGTCACTATCACTATATTGCTGAAACTGGCCAAAGTTTAAGGTATTTTTTTTTCTGCACGTGGGCCTTTGACTTGAGAAAATAAAAGTATCTTCTGTGCTTTGAATTATAGCAGCTACATATTTTGAATATCAAAGATATTTGTTAAAAACAAAAAGTTTCATTCTTCTAAGAAATTTGCAACCCAATCTCATACTTTTTTTTTTATTATTATACTTTAAGTTTTAGGGTACATGTGCACATTGTGCAGGTTAGTTACATATGTATACATGTGCCATGCTGGTGCGCTGCACCCACTAACTCGTCATCTAGCATTAGGTATGTCTCCCAGTGCTATCCCTCCCCACTCCCCCCACCCCACCACAGTCCCCAGAGTGTGATATTCCCCTTCCTGTGTCCATGTGATCTCATTGTTCAGTTCCCACCTATGAGTGAGAATATGCAGTGTTTGGTTTTTTGTTCCTGCGATAGTTTACTGAGAATGATGATTTCCAATTTCATCCATGTCCCTACAAAGGACATGAATTCATCATTTTTTATGGCTGCATAGTATTCCATGGTGTATATATGCCACATTTTCTTAATCCAGTCTATCATTGTTGGGCATTTGGGTTGGTTCCAAGTCTTTGCTATTGTGAATAATGCCGTAATAAACATACGTGGGCATGTATCTTTATAGCAGCATGATTTAGAGTTCTTTGGGTATATACCCAGTAATGGGATGGCTGGGTCAAATGGTATTTCTAGTTCTAGATCCCTGAGGAATCGCCACACTGACTTCCACAATGGTTGAACTAGTTTACAGTCCCACCAACAGTGTAAAAGTGTTCCTATTTCTCCACATCCTCTCCAGCACCTGTTGTTTCCTGACTTTTGAATGATTGCCATTCTAACTGGTGTGAGATGGTATCTCATTGTGGTTTTGATTTGCATTTCTCTGACGGCCAGTGATGATGAGCATTTTTTCATGTGTTTTTTGGCTGCATAAATGTCTTCCTTTGAGAAGTGTCTGTTCATGTTTACCCACTTTTTGTTGGGGTTGTTTGTTTTTTTCTTGTAAATCTGTTTGAGTTCATTGTAGATTCTGGATATTAGCCCTTTGTCAGATGAGTAGGTTGCAAAAATTTTCTCCCATTTTGTAGGTTGCCTGTTCACTCTGATGGTAGTTTCTTTTGCTGTGCAGAAGCTCTTGAGTTTAATTAGATCCCATTTGTCAATTTTGTCTTTTGTTGCCATTGCTTTTGGTGTTTTAGACATGAAGTCCTTGCCCATGCCTATGTCCTGAATGGTAATGCCTAGGTTTTCTTCTAGGGTTTTTATGGTTTTAGGTCTAACGTTTAAGTCTTTAATCCATCTTGAATTGATTTTTGTATAAGGTGTAAGGAAGGCATCCAGTTTCAGCTTTCTACATATGGCTAGCCAGTTTTCCCAGCACCATTTATTAAATAGGGAATCCTTTCCCCATTGCTTGTTTTTCTCAGGTTTGTCAAAGATTAGATAGTTGCAGATATGCGGCGTTATTTCTGAGGGCTCTGTTCTGTTCCATTGATCTATATCTCTGTTTTGGTACCAGTACCATGCTGTTTTGGTTACTGTAGCCTTGTAGTATAGTTTGAAGTCAGGTAGTGTGATGCCTCCAGCTTTGTTCTTTTGGCTTAGGATTGACTTGGCGATGCGGGCTCTTTTTTGGTTCCATATGAACTTTAAAGTAGTTTTTTCCAATTCTGTGAAGAAACGCATTGGTAGCTTGATGGGGATGGCATTGAATCTGTAAATTACCTTGGGCAGTATGGCCATTTTCACGATATTGATTCTTCCTACCCATGAGCATGGAATGTTCTTCCATTGGTTTGTATCCTCTTTTATTTCCTTGAGCAGTGGTTTGTAGTTCTCCTTGAAGAGGTCCTTCACATCCCTTGTAAGTTGGATTCCTAGGTATTTTATTCTCTTTGAAGCAATTGTGAATGGGAGTTCACTCATGATTTGGCTCTCTGTTTGTCTGTTGTTGGTGTATAAGAATGCTTGTGATTTTTGTACATTGATTTTGTATCCTGAGACTTTGCTGAAGTTGCTTATCAGCTTAAGGAGATTTTGGGCTGAGACAATGGGGTTTTCTAGATATACAATCATGTCGTCTGCAAACAGGGACAATTTGACTTCCTCTTTTCCTAATTGAATACCCTTTATTTCCTTCTTCTGCCTAATTGCCCTGGCCAGAACTTCCAACACTATGTTGAATAGGAGTGGTGAGAGAGGCATCCCTGTCTTGTGCCAGCTTTCAAAGGGAATGCTTCCAGTTTTTGCCCATTCAGTATGAGATTGGCTGTGGGTTTATCATAGATAGCTCTTATTACTTTGAGATACATCCCATCGATACCTAATTTATTGAGAGTTTTTAGCATGAAGGGTTGTTGAATTTTGTCAAAGGCTTTTTCTGCATGTATTGAGATAACCATGTGGTTTGTGTCTTTGGCTCTGTTTATATGCTGGATTACATTTATTGATTTGCATATATTGAACCAGCCTTGCATCCCAGGGATGAAGCCCACTTGATCATGGTGGATAAGCTTTTTGATGTGCTGCTGGATTCGTTTTGCCAGTATTTTATTGAGGATTTTTGCATCAATGTTCATCAAGGATATTGGTCTAAAATTCTCTTTTTTGGTTGTGTCTCTGCCAGGCTTTGGTATCAGAATGATGCTGGCCTCATAAAATGAGTTAGGGAGGATTCCCTCTTTTTCTATTGATTGGAATAGTTTCAGAAGGAATGGTACCAGTTCCTCATTGTACCTCTTGTAGAATTCGGCTGTGAATCCATCTGGTCCTGGAGTCTTTTTGGTTGGTAAACTATTGATTATTGCCACAATTTCAGATCCTGTTATTGGTCTATTCAGAGATTGAACTTCTTCCTGGTTTAGTCTTGGGAGAGTGTATGTGTCGAGGAATTTATCCATTTCTTCTAGATTTTCTAGTTTATTTGCATAGAGGTGTTTGTAGTATTCTCTGATGGTAGTTTGTATTTCTGTGGGATCGGTGGTGATATCCCCTTTTTCATTTTTTATTGCGTCTATTTGATTCTTCTCTCTTTTTTTCTTTATTAGTCTTGCTAGCGGTCTATCAATTTTGTTGATCCTTTCAAAAAACCAGCTCCTGGATTCATTAATTTTTTGAAGGGTTTTTTGTGTCTCTATTTCCTTCAGTTCTGCTCTGATTTTAGTTATTTCTTGCCTTCTGCTAGCTTTTGAATGTGTTTGCTCTTGCTTTTCTAGTTCTTTTAATTGTGATGTTAGGGTGTCACTTTTGGATCTTTCCTGCTTTCTCTTGTGGGCATTTAGTGCTATAAATTTCCCTCTACACACTGCTTTGAATGTGTCTCAGAGATTCTGGTATGTTGTGTCTTTGTTCTCGTTGGTTTCAAAGAACATCTTTATTTCTGCCTTCATTTCGTTATGTACCCAGTAGTCATTCAGGAGCAGGTTGTTCAGTTTCCATTTAGTTGAGCAGTTTTGAGTGAGATTCTTAATCCTGAGTTCTAGTTTGATTGCACTGTGGTCTGAGAGATAGTTTGTTATAATCTCTGTTCTTTTACATTTGCTGAGGAGAGCTTTACTTCCAAGTATGTGGTCAATTTTGGAATAGGAGTGGTGTAGTGATGAAAAAAATGTATATTCTGTTGATTTGAGGTGGAGAGTTCTGTAGATGTCTATTAGGTCCGCTTGGTGCAGAGCTGAGTTCAATTCGTGGGTATCCTTGTTAACTTTCTGTCTCGTTGATCTGTCTAATGTTGACAGTGGGGTGTTAAAGTCTCCCATTATTAATGTGTGGGAGTCTAAGTCTCTTTGTAGGTCACTCAGGACTTGCTTTATGAATCTGGGTGCTCCCGTATTGGGTGCATATATATTTAGGATAGTTGGCTTTTGTTGTTGAATTGATCCCTTTACCATTATGTAATGGCCTTCTTTGTCTCTTTTGATCTTTGTTGGTTTAAAGTCTGTTTTATCAGAGACTAGGATTGCAACCCCTGCCTTTTTTTGTTTTCCATTTGCTTGGTAGATCTTCCTCCATCCTTTTATTTTGAGCCTATGTGTGTCTCTGCACGTGAGATGGGTTTCCTGAATACAGCACACTGATGGGTCTTGACTGTTTATCCAATTTGCCAGTCTGTGTCTTTTAATTGGAGCATTTAGTCCATTTACATTTAAAGTTAATATTGTTATGTGTGAATTTGATCCTGTCATTATGATGTTAGCTGGTTATTTTGCTCGTTAGTTGATGCAGTTTCTTCCTAGTCTCGATGGTCTTTACATTTTGGCATGATTTTGCAGCGGCTGGTACCAGTTGTTCCTTTCCATGTTTAGCGCTTCCTTCAGGAGCTCTTTTAGGGCAGGCCTGGTGGTGACAAAATCTCTCAGCATTTGCTTGTCTGTAAAGGATTTTATTTCTCCTTCACTTATGAAGCTTAGTTTGGCTGGATATGAAATTCTGGGTTGAAAATTCTTTTCTTTAAGAATGTTGAATATTGGCCCCCACTCTCTTCTGGCTTGTAGAGTTTCTGCTGAGAGATCCGCTGTTAGTCTGATGGGCTTCCCTTTGAGGGTAACCCGACCTTTCTCTCTGGCTGCCCTCAACATTTTTTCCTTCATTTCTACTTTGGTGAATCTGGCAGTTATGTGTCTTGGAGTTGCTCTTCTCGAGGAGTATCTTTGTGGCGTTCTCTGTATTTCCTGAATCTGAACGTTGGCCTGTCTTGCTAGATTGGGGAAGTTCTCCTGGATAATATCCTGCAGAGTGTTTTCCAACTTGGTTCCATTCTCCCCATCACTTTCAGGTACACCAATCAGACGTAGATTTGGTCTTTTCACGTAGTCCCATATTTCTTGGAGGCTTTGCTCATTTCTTTTTATTCTTTTTTCTCTAAACTTCCCTTCTCACTTCATTTCATTCATTTCATCTTCCATTGCTGATACCCTTTCTTCCAGTTGATCACATCGGCTCCTGAGGCTTCTGCATTCTTCACGTAGTTCTCGAGCCTTGGTTTTCAGCTCCATCAGCTCCTTTAAGCACTTCTCTGTATTGGTTATTCTAGTCATACAGTCTTCTAAATTTTTTTCAAAGTTTTCAACTTCTTTGCCTTTGGTTTGAATGTCCTCCCATAGCTCAGAGTAATTTGATCGTCTGAAGCCTTCTTCTCTCAGCTCGTCAAAGTCATTCTCCATCCAGCTTTGTTCCGTTGCTGGTGAGGAACTGTGTTCCTTTGGAGGAGGAGAGGTGCTCTGCTTTTTAGAGTTTCCAGTTTTTCTGTTCTGTTTTTTCCCCATCTTTGTGGTTTTATCTACTTTTGGTCTTTCATGATGGTGATATACAGATGGGTTTTTGGTGTGGATGTGCTTTCTGTTTGTTAGTTTTCCTTCTAACAGACAGGACCCTCAGCTGCAGGTCTGTTGGAATACCCTGCCGTGTGAGGTGTCAGTGTGCCCCTGCTGGGGGGTGCCTCCCAGTTAGGCTGCTTGGGGGTCAGGGGTCAGGGACCCACTTGAGGAGGCAGTCTGCCCGTTCTCAGATCTCCAGCTGCGTGCTGGGAGAACCACTGCTCTCTTCAAAGCTGTCAGACAGGGACATTTAAGTCTGCAGAGGTTACTGCTGTCTTTTTGTTTGTCTGTGCCCTGCCCCCAGAGGTGGAGCCTACAGAGGCAGGCAGGCCTCCTTGAGCTGTGGTGGGCTCCACCCAGTTCGAGCTTCCAGGCTGCTTTGTTTACCTAAGCAAGCCTGGGCAATGGTGGGCGCCCCTCCCCCAGCCTGGCTGCCACCTTGCAGTTTGATCTCAGACTGCTGTGCTAGCAATCAGCGAGACTCCGTGGGCATAGGACCCTCTGAGCCAGGTGCGGGATATAATCTCATGGTGTGCCATTTTTTTAAGCTGGTCAGAAAAGCGCATTATTCGGGTAGGAGTGATCCGATTTTCCAGGTGCGTCCATCACCCCTTTCTTTGACTCAGAAAGGGAACTCCCTGACCCCTTGCACTTCCCAAGTGAGGAATGCCTCACCCTGCTTCGGCTCGTGCACGGTGCGCGCACCTACTGACCTGCGCCCACTGTCTGGCGCTCCCTAGTGAGATGAACCCAGTACCTCAGATGGAAATGCAGAAATCACCCTTCTTCTGCATCGCTCAGGCTGGGAGCTGTAGACCGGAGCTGTTCCTATTCGGCCATCTTGGCTCCTCCCTGCCAATCTCATTCTTAAACATGCTTTAGTTCACAGGTATCTTGACTTACCTGATCAAATGAGTATTTTACATTCATTTGAAAAATGAGAAGCATGCCAAGGGTCTGAAATGTAAATTACTCTTAGTGGATAAACTTATTTGAGAATCCACCCTGAATTGACTTTGGGAAAACAAAAATTAAACTAAAATACAATCAAATATTTAGAGGAAAAGAAGTCTTTGATGAGCATTGGTTTTATTCCATGAAAACAAATTCATAAAACTTTTTATATAATCAATAGAAGAACATTTTATTTTTAAATTTTTTAATTTAAAATGTGTGTAGGTACATAGTAGGTATGTATATTTATGAAGTACATGAGATATTTTTGTACAGGTATGAAATGCATAATAATCACATCAGGGAGAATTGGCTGTCCATTACCTCAAGCATTGTTCTTTGTGTTATGAACATGCCATCATATTCTTTTATTTATTTTAAAATGTAAAATCAAATGATTATTGACTGTAGTTATCACATTGTGCTATCAAATGCTAGGTCTTCCTTATTCATTCTAGCTATTTGTTTTGTACTCATTAATCATCCCCACTTCCCCCACACCACCATACCCCAATACCCTTCTCAGCCTCTGGTAACCATCCTTCTACTCTCTATCTCCATGAATTCTGTTGTTTTGACTTTTAGATCCAATAAAGAAGTAAGAACCTGTGATGTTTGTCTTTCTGTGCCTGACTAAACAGTCATTATATTTCACTTAACATAATGATTTTCAGTTCCTTCTATGTTGTTGCAAATGACAAGATCTTGTTCTTTTTATGGCTGGATAGTACTTCATTGTGTGTATGCACCGCATTTGCTTTTTCATTTATGTGTTGATGGACACTTAGGTGTCTTTCAAATCTTGGCTATGTGAACAGTGCTGCAACAAATATGGGAGTGCAGATATCTCTTTGATGTACTGATTTCCTTTCTTCTGGGTATTGATCCAGCAGTGGGGTTGCTGGATTGTATGGTAGGACTCATTTTAGTTTTTTCAGGAATGTTCAAACTGTTATCCATAGTTGTTGTACTAGTGCACATTCCAACAAACAGTGTGTGATGATTCCCTTTTTTCCACATCTTCATCAGCATTTGTGTTATTGCCTGACTTCCGGACAAAAGCCATTTTAACTGGGGTGAGATAATATCTTATTGTTCTTTTAATTTGCCATTTCTCTGATAATCATTGATATTGAGTACTTTTTCATAAAAGTGTTTCAGAATTCTTTGCCATTTGTATGGCTTCTTTTGAGAAACATCTATTTAAATATTTTTCTCATTTCTAAATTGGATTATTAGATATTTTCCACAGAATTCTTTGAGCTCCTTATATATTCTGGTTATTAACACCTTGTCATATGGGTAGCTTACAAATATTTTTTCACATTTTTTGTGTTGTCTCTTCACTTTGTTGATTGTATCCTTTGTTGTGCAGAACATTTTAACTCGATGTGATTCCATTTGTCCATTTTTGCTTTGGTTGCCTTTGGTTGTTGGCTATTACTCAAGAAATTTTTGCCAAGACCAATGTCCTGAATATTTTCCCCTATGTTTTCTTTTGGTAGTTTCATAGTTTGATTTTTAAGTCTTAGTTTGTCTTTAATCCATTTTGATTTGATTTTTCTATATGGTGAGTGATAGCATCAATTTTCATTCTTCTGCATAAGGATATTGTGTTTTCCCAACACCATTTATTGAAGAGACTGTCTTTTCCCCAGTGAGTGTTCGTGGCACTTTTGTAAAAAATGAGTTTGCTGTAGTTGTGTGGATTTGTTTTTGTTTTCTGTTCCATTGGTCTATGTGTCTGTTTTTATGCCAGTACCATGCTGTTTCGGTTCCTATAGCACTTGCTATAATTTGAAGTCAGGCAATGTAATTCCTCCTGTTTCCTTCTTCTTGCCAGGAGAGCTTTGGCTATTCTGAGCCTTTTGCAGTTCCATACAGACTTTAGGATTGTTTTTTCTAGTTCTGTGAAGAATGTCTTTGGTATTTTGATAGGGATTGCACTGAATCTATAGATTGCTTTTTGTAATACTAACATTTTAACAATATTGATTATTCTAATACATGTACTGAAATATCTTTCCAATTTTTGGTATTATCTTCCATTTCTTTCATCATTGTTTCATAGTTTTCATGGTAGAGATCTTCCACTTTTTTTGATTGAGTTAATTTTCAGGTACTTAATTTTATGTGTGGCTGTTGTAAGTGGAATGAGTTTTTTATTTCTTTTTTGGATTGTTCAATGTTGACATATAGAAATGCTACTGATTTTGCTTGTTGATTTTTTTATCCTGCAATATTAATGAATTTGTTTATCAGTTCTAATAGTTATTTTTTGGAGTCCTTAGGTTTTTCCACATATAAGAGCATATTATCTGTAAACAAAGGAATTTGACTTCTTCCTTTCCAATTGGGATGTCCTGTGTTTCTTTCTGTCTGATTGCTCTAGCTAAGACTTCCAGTGGTATGTTGAATAACAGTGGTGGCAGTCAGCATCCTTGTCAGGTTCCAGATCATATAGGAAATAATTTCTATTTTTCCTTATTCAGTACAATACTTGCTGTGGGTCTCTTGCAAATGGCTTTTATTGTGTTAAGGTATCTTCCTTCTATCTCTAGTTTTTTCAGGGTTTGTATCACGAAGCAATGCTGAATTTTATCCATTGCTTTTTCAGCATCAATTGAAATGATTATACAGTTTTTGTTAGTTATTCTGTTGATGTGATATATCACATTAAATTGCATATGTTGAACCAAACTTGAATCCTTAGGACAAATCCCACTTAGTCATGATGAGTGATCTTTTTAATGTATTGTTAAATTTGGTTTGCTAACATTTTGTTGATGACTTTTGCATCAATTTTTATCATAGATATTGACCTGTAGTTTTCTTTTTCTGAAGTATCTTTGTCTGGTTTTGGTATCAGGGAAATACTGGCCTTGTAGAATGAGTTTGGAAGTATTCCCTCTTTCTCTATTTGTTGGAACAATTTAAGTAGGATTGGCATTAGTTTTTCTTTAAATATTTGGTACAATATAATGGGGAAGCTATCAGGTCCCAGACTTTACCGGGAGACTTTTTATTATGGCTTCAATCTTTCCACTTTTTATTGATCTGTTCAGATGTTGGATATCTTCATGGTTCAATCTTGGTAGGTTGTATGTGTCTAGGAATTTGTCTGTTTTTTCCAGTTTTTCAAATTTTTTTGCATATAGTTGCTCATAATAGCCACGGATTATCCTTTGATTTTCTGTGGTATCAGTTGTAATGTCTCCTTTTTAATCTCTGATTTTATTTATATGTGTCTTCTCTGCTTATTTCTTAGTCTAGATAAAGGTTTGTTAATTTTGTTTATCTTTTCAAAAAAGCAACTTTTTGTTTCATTGATCTTTTGTATTGTTTTCTTCATTTCATATTCATTGATTTCTGATCTTTATTATTTCTTTTATTCTACTAATTTTGGATTCAGTTTGCTCTTGTTTTTCTAGTTTTTTAAGATGCATCATTAGGTTATTTATTAGAAGTTTTTCTTCTTTTTCAATATAGGCACTTATAGCTATAAATATCCTCTTAGTATTTCT
This sequence comes from Homo sapiens, assembly GCF_000001405.40. NCBI lineage: Eukaryota > Metazoa > Chordata > Mammalia > Primates > Hominidae > Homo > Homo sapiens. Next base: position 97,819,566 of record NC_000005.10, read on the forward strand.
TTCACTGCATCCCATAGGTTTTGGTATGTTGTTTCCATTATGGTTTGTTTTGAAAAACTTTTCAATTTCCTTCTAAATTTTTTCATTGACACACTGGTCATTTAGGGGCATATTGTTTAATTTACATGTGTTTTGGTAGTTTCCACAATTCCTTGTTATTTGTTTCTAGTTTTATTCCATTGTGGTCAGAAAAGATGCTTGGTACTATTTGTTATGTGTTTCCTGGTTGTTCTGTGGTCTTCTCTTCCTTCATTCATTCCTTCCAGTCTTCCTTTTAGTGAAAATGATTATCTCTGTTACTATGCTTTAATTTCTTGCTTTCTAGGCTTTGTGTATCCATTGTATGTTTTTCAGTTTGAGGTTACCATGAGGCTTGCAAATACTAACTTATAACCCATTATTTTAGCCTAATAACAACATTACAGTAATTGCATTAACAAGCACTCTAAATGAAAACTAGTAAAAACTCTACACTTTAACTTATCCCCTTGCTTTTTAACTTTGTTGTTGTTTCTTATTATGTCTTAGCATACTGTCTATGTCTTCACAAGTTGTAGTTATTATTTTTGATTGGTTCATCATTGAGCCTTTCTACTTAAGTCAAGAGAAGTTTACACATCACAATTACGGTGTTATACTATTCTGTGTTTTTCCATGTACCTACTATTACCAGTGAGCTTTGTACCTTCAGATTATTTCCTCTCCTTCATTTACATCCTTTTCTTTTTCACGGAAGAACACCCTTTAGATTTCTTGTAGGACAGGTCTGGTGTTGATGACATCATTCCAATTTTGTTTGTCTTAGAAGGTCTTTATTTCTTCTTCATATTTAAGGGACATTTTTGCCAGATATAATGTTGTAGGGTAAAAGTTTTTTTTTTTTTTCTTTCAGCTCTTTAAGTTTGTAATGTCATTCTCTCCTGGCCTAAAAGCTTTTCACTGAAAAGTCTGCTGCCAGTCATATTAGAGCTCCATTGTACCTTATTTGTGTCTTCTCTCTTGCTGCTTTTAGGATCCCTTCTTTATCCTTGATCTTTGGGAGTTCAATTATTAAATGCCTTGAAGTAGTCTTCTTTGGGTTAAATCTACTTAGTGTCCTATCACCTTCTTGTACCTGGATGTTGACATATTTTTCTAGGTTTAGTACTTTTCTGTTATTATCCCTGTTAATAAACTTTTTAACCCTATCTCTTTCTCTACCTCATTATTAATGCCAATAACTCTTAGATTTGTCCTTCTGAGGTGATTTTCTAGATCCTGTAGACATGGTTCATTGTTATTTATCAATTAATTAATTAATTTATTTTTCGGTCTCTTCTGACTGTGTATTTTGAAATAACCTGTCTTCAAGCTCACTAATTATTTCTTCTGCTTGATCAGTTCTACTGTTAAGAGACTTTGATGCGTTCTTCAGTGTTTGAAATGCATTTTTAAACCTTGGAATTTCTGCTTGATTCTTTTAAATTATTTTAGTCTCTTTTTAAAATTCATTGAATAGAATTCTGTATTCCTTCTGTGTACTGTCTTGAATTTCTTTTAGTTTCCACAACACAGCTATTTTGAATTCTCTGTCTGAAAGATCATACGTCTCTGTTTCTTCAGGATTGGTTCCTGGTGCCTTATTTAATTCATTTGGTGAGGTCATGTTTTTCTGGATGGTATTGATGCCTAATATTCTTTAATGTCTGGGCATTGAAGAGTAAGGTATTTATTGTAGTTGTCACAGTATGGGGTTTTTGTGCCTGTCCTTCTTGGAAGGGCTTTCCATGTATCGCAAGGGATTGGGTCCCAAGCCCAATAATACTGTGGCATTTGCAGACTCATAGAGGTACTGCCTTGGTGATCTTGAAAAAGATCTGGAAGAAATCTGTGGATTATGAGGCAGAGATTCTTTGTTTTCGTTTTTGCTTTCTCCTGGACAAATGGAGTATCTCTCTCTGTGCTGGCCACCTGGAACTGGGGATATGGTGATGCAAGCACCCCTTTGGACATTATCACTGAGACTGTGCTGGGTCAGACCTGAAGTCAGCCTAGCACTGAACCTTCCTCTGGGCCCTTCCCTTCAGGGTGGTAAATACCCTTAGGTCCTGGGCATGTCCAGAGATGCTATCTGGGAGCCAGGGATTGGAGTAAAACACCTTAGCAACTTACCTGTTATCTTCTACTGTGGCTAAGTTGGCACTCAAACCACAGTACACAGACCTTCCTGTTCTTCCCTTCCCTTTCCACAGGTAGAAGAGCCTCTCCCTGTGGCCACCACCACCACTGGTCCATGGGGTGTTCTGCCAGGCATCCGCTGATGTTCGCTTAAAGCCCAAGGGCTTTTGTGTCAGCTTGTGGTGAATGATGCCAGTCCTGGGACTCACCCCACAGAGCAGTGGGCACCCCTCTGGCCCAGGGCCAGGTCCAGAAATTCTGTCTAAGAGTCTAGACCTGGACTCAGAGACCCTGGGAGCCTGGTTGTCACTGTACCCAATTATGACTGAGCTGGTACCTAGGGTGCAAGACAAAGTCTCCTTTGCCTTTCCCTCTGCCTTTTCTCAAAAAGTTGTCTTTCACCATAGCCACCACAGCTGAGAATGTGCTGGGTCTCCCCTGAAGCCCAAGATCCGTGGCATACTACCTGGATATCACTGGAGGAGCCAAAGGCTTTAGTCAGCAGGTGATTAATCCTGCCAGGACTGGGTCCTTCTTTCAAAGCAGTGGGTTACCTTTTGGTCTTTGGTATGTTCAAGAGCTAGGTCCTGGAATGCGGGCTTCATGACTCTGCCCAGTGCCCACTCCTATTGTGGCTGAGCTGGTATCCAAGATGCAAGACAAAGTCCTCTTTACTATTCACTCTCCTTTCCTTAAGCAGAAGGAAGGAGTCACTTTTGTTGCTATGAGCTGCATTGCCTAGGGCTGGAGGAGAGTTGTTGCAAGCACTCCTCTAGCCACCAGAGCTGGTATATCTCTCGGTCAAGCGCCTCCCTAGTCCTCTGGCTCTGAGCCCAGCCCAGCAATAGAAGTTGTCTAGGAATTGCGGTCTTTGTGTCCTAGACCGCCTTTCAAGTTTACCTAGAACCCCAGAGCACGTTGGCACGCAGTGACGAGACTTGCCAAGAAACTAAAATTCCAGCCACTGGGATGGGTGATTCCCCTATGGCTAGGTCTGGTCCAAAGACTCCCTCCATGCATGAGTGCTGGCTGAGTCCAGCACAGCTTTGCTTTCCTCTCTGTTGTGACAGTGTAGCACTGAGTTCAATGTAAAGTTTCCCCAGGCACTGTGCTCTTGTTCCCCTAAGTACAAAGACAGTTTGGGATGCACAGATGCTGCCAGGGGGATGGGGAAGGGGTGGCATTGGTTATTCAAGACAGCTTCTCCTGTCCTCTTCAATATCTCTTTCCACAATATAAAGTTAAAACCAGGTACTGTGATTGCTCACCTGATCTTTGGTTCTTGGTGATGGTGCTTTTCTGTGTGCAGATAGTTGTTAAAATTTTGTGTTCCAGTGAGGGGGACAAAAGGTGGAGCTTTTTGTTCCACCATCTTGCTATGACTCCTGAAAGAACATTTTAAATTTTGGGAGAGGTGTTTGTGTGTATATTAGTTTGTGCACACATTAAGTTAATATTAGGTCATTCTTCAGTTTAACTATTTAAAATGTGCGTTTTTCATTTTACACAAAATTTCTTTCCTTCCTTCCTTCCCTCCCTCCCTTCCTCCCCCCTTCTCTCTCTTTCCCTTTGTTTCTCTCTCCCTTTCTTTCTCTCTCCCTCTTTCTTTCTCTTTCTTTTTTCTCTTTCTTTCTTTCTTTCTTTCTTTCTTTCTTTCTTTCTTTCTTTCTTTCTTTCTTTCTCTTTCTTTCCTTTCTTCTTTCCCCTTCCTTCCTTCCTTGCTCCCTCCCTCCCTCCTTCCTTCCCTCCCTCTCTCTCTCGCTTTCTTGCTTTCCTGCTTCTTTCTTCCTTCCTTCCTTCCTCCCTTCCTTCCTCCCTCCCTCCCTCCCTCTCTGTCTTGCTTTCTCGCTTTCCTCTTTTTTCTTTCTTTCTCTTCTTTTTCTTTCTTCCTTTTTCTTTCTTTCTCTTCTTTTTCTTTCCTCTTCTTTCTTTCTTTTTCTTTCTTTCTCTTGTTTTTCTTTCTTCTTGTCTTTCTTGTCTTTCCTTTCTTTCCTTTCTTTTTTTTCTTCTTTCAAGGCAAGGTGTCTCACTTCATTGCCCAGGCTGGTTTTGCACTCCTAGCCTCAAGATATCCTCCTGTCTCCACCACCCAATGTGCTGAGATTACAGGTGTGTGCCACTGTGCCTGGCCCATGCTACATAAAATTTAAACCTACCATCTTTTGTTAGCATATTGTGAATTGCATGATTCTTAGTATGATCCAGATATGAGTTTATCTTTGCTTATACACTAATTCCAAGACAATCTTTGCTTTCAAGTTTTATTTAGGTTTATTAGGGCTCCTTAATCATTTATTGTTAAAAAGGCCTGATCTAGTTACATTTTTTTTTTACTAGTTACACTTTGTTGTTGTTTTTTTTTTTTTTAACCATGTTCTCTTCTCCCAGTTAGCAGCCTGTGGCTTATTATTATTTTTTAATGAAATTTATTGCTTTTCAGGACTGATGCCTGTAGGTGACCTCTTGCTGTATACTAGGCTGAAGTATGCCTTTTCTTGGCTGTTTCTGAACTCTTGCTTATAAGGGTAACATAGAATATTCTCCCTGCTCCCAAGTTGTATCCTGCTGTCCCTTATTACCCCCTATCTTTAGAGAGGACTTGTAGCCAACTTGTGATGTTCTGTCTCTTTAAACATAAACTTCCTTGACTACTTTCTTCACCGTGACACTGCCGCTGCAAATCGCCATCTCCACTTTTGAAAATATAAATTCATAAGCTTTTATGATTACAAGGAGGAAATTATGTATTTTGCATTTTTTCATGTATATACAAACAAGGATTTTTATTATTTCTAGCCTGAGATCATACATATATATGAAATATTGAAAGCAATATGTATTTTACAAATAATACATTCTGTCCCAGGTGCCTCCTGCATGCAAATTTTTAATAAAATCACCTATTGACAACCTTTATTCTATGAGAACAGCTCTTTAATTTTGAGCTTTTTCTAAAAGATCTTTCTGTCTAGTTAATTACAGATATGCATGTACATAGATATATTTTAAAGTATTTGATATTTATATTAAATCAACTAATGTATCTGGCATAATGATGCATTTATTAAGAAATCCTAGCCTCCCTTTTAAAACATAGACTCTCCTCCCTTGTCACGTCATATAAATGATTTGATAAAGTAAAGCTCCTCCAGTGTTTGGTCTGCCATTTATTTCATTCCCAGTCAAATGCTTCCCTTCAACATCTGTTTAAAATGCAGTTCGTTTCCTTTATGTTTATATTTTATTGACTTTGCTATAATGTTTTCTGAGAGCATAAATAGTAATACAGCTCAGTCATTTTTTCTTTCCAACTGCTACAATTATTGTTTCTTTAAATTTCCACAAACTCTGGATTATTGAGTTACTTGCAGTTATTGGATTTTTGTTTCTTGCCTACCCAGAGCTCACATTTCCAAATCACAGAGCAGGCTGCATTTTTCTGCATTTCCCTACCTTTACTATCTTACTTTATAAGACTAATATAAAGAAAAGAAGAAATCTATAATCCTAACATAATATATGTGAATTTTCTTTTAATATAGAAAAGTATGGATCTATAAACTATTTATATATTTTTTTCATTTCTTTCCTGTAATGATGATTTTTCTCAAGGGATCTGTTGGATTTAAAGCCCTAAATAAAATCTTTTCACCCACATTTCAAATTTCCTACACATTTTTAATAACTATAACCTATGTTAGAGTCTCTTGCCTTTATATAAGTCTTTGCTCATTTCTCATATCCCAATTTCTGTGCTAAGTTTGTGCTTCCTTTGGTCACGGTGTATATATTCACAGTTTTCCATTAGAATTTATGACAGAATAAACTGAAGAGCCAATATTTATTTTGCTTAGGTAGAGATACATTTAACACAAGGCTGTATCAATTTCATTAGTCCTTTTTCAAGTTTGGTTTTACTTGATTGTTAAATTTCTCCACATAAATTTTTTAAAACTTTATAGTGCTTCAAGATTATTATAATAATCATTTTCATTTTCTATATTGTTTGACACTAAATCATATTCAAGTATATGTTTTATTGTCTTTTAACTGTTTTTAGACTAAATCTTGAGGTGTACATTTTTTTGCTTAAAGTTATTTAAGCTCACAAAATATCCCGTAAGATTTTTTCCTTTCAAATTGACATTAGCTTTTCTAAATTGCCTAATTTTTTTATGCCTCATTATTAAAAGGAACATTATTTCTGCAATTAGCATTTTTGGTATTTTGCTAACTAGCTAAAAGTTTCAGTTGAACTGCTTATTTATTTATGTCAGTGATATTTTAATTTTGTGTATAAAAATCTTGATTAGTTTTCTTATAGGCAAATATACACTGATATTTTTTCTAATATTGAGAATTATATTAATTCAGTTTTTAAGCCATTACATGATGGCCACCTGGTCTGCATTGTTGATAATTATGAGGCTGCTCTAATATCATTATCATCTCTTTTCTTTATTAAAGGCAGTTTTAAAGTTTCATTCATTAGATTCATATATTTGATCAATTCTAGGAATTTGTTAGATAATATATTTTCAAGTATTGCAACTAATGCAGTAACACTATTCTGTTTGCTTACACTTAAATAGAATGCATATGGCAGATTTTATCATGCTATGTTATCTCTTAAATCAACTATTATAATATTTTTATAGTGTTATATCTTTCTGCTATGGTCTGTAATTTTAAAGATCTATTTTGTAGTTCACTAATTTTATTTTCAGCTATATCTAATCTGATATTTAATTATCCATTGATATTATTTCAAATTAATTAATTCCTAATTAATTTTTAATTAAAAGACAATCTTTAGCACAGTTTTGAGTTTACAGAATAATTGAGCAGAAAGTATACAGAATTCCCATAGATTTCCTCTCCTTCTGTCTACAATTTCCCCTATTATTAACATCTTGCCTTGATATGTTATATTTGCTGCAATTGATGAACCAACAATGACTAACGATAGTCCATAGTTTACATTGGGGTTTACCCTTTGTGTTATACAGTTCTATGGATTTTGACAAATTCCTAATGTTATATGTCCACTGTTATAGAATCATACAGAATAATTTTACTGCCCTAAAAAATCCTTCTTCTCTATTTATCCTTCTCCATTCCTCACTGCCCTCTCCCCAAACCTTTGGCAGCCACCGATCTAATGTTTCTGTAGTTTTGCTTTTTACAAAATGTCTTATAATCACAGAGGGCATTTTGTTTGACTGGCTTGCCAATATGTATTTAAGGTTCCTCCTTGTTGTTTCATGGCTTGACAGCTCATCTCCTTTTGTCACTAAATAATTAATATTCCATTGTGTGGATGTAAATTGCGTGGACTGTTTATTTACTCACCTATTGAAGGACATCTTGTTTGCATCCACATTTTGGCAATTATGAGTAAAGCTGTGTTAAACATTCATGCACAGCTTTTTGTGTGAATATGTTTTCGGTAAATACCAAGAAGCACAATTTTTGGATTGTATAGCAAGATTATATTTAGCTTTGTAAGAAACTGCAAAATTGTCTCTTCCACGATGGATGTACCATTTTGTATCTCCAAAAGCAACAAATGAGAGTTTCTGTTGCTCCACATCCTCACTAACATTTGGTGTCAATGTTTTAAATTTTGGCTATTCTAATAGATTTGTAGTGGTATCTCATTTTTATTTTAATTTAAAATTCATTGATAATATGAGTTGAAGTATCTTTTTATATATTTATTTTCCATCAGCATATCTTCTTCATGGGGATCTGTTCAGATATTTGAACACTTTTTAATTGGGTCATTTGGTTCCTTATTGTTGAATTTTAAGCATTCTTTATATATTTTGAATACAAGTTCTTTATGAGGTAAGTGTTTTGTAAATATTTATCTCAGTCTGTGGCTTGTCTTTTCATTTTCTTTATGTGACTTTTATTGAACAGAATTTTTTAATTTTAATAAAATCCAACTTATCCAGTGTTCTTTCCTAGATCCTGTTCTTTGGTGTTTTATCTAAAATCTCACTGCCAAACTCAAGATCATCTAGTTTTTCTCCTATGTTATCTTCCAGAAGGTTTTTTAATTTCACATTTTACATTTTGGTAATTGATTCATTTCAAGTCAATTCTGTGAAGGTTGTAAAGTCAGTGTCTAGATTCTTATTTATTTATTATTTTTTTTCCATGTGGATGTCCAGTTTTTGCAGCACTATTTGCTGAAAGACTAACTTTCTCCATTAGATGACTTTTGCTCCTTTGTCAAAGATTGGTTGACTGTATTTGTGTGAGTCTATTTTGAGGCCCTGTAAGCAGTTTCATTGATCTATTTGTGTATTCTCTTGCCATTACCACACTGTCTTGATTACTATTGCTTTATAGTAAGCAAGTCTGGAAGTTAGGTGAGTCAGATAGTGTCAATCCTCTGGCTTAGTTCTTCTTCAGTATTCTGCTTCTGGCTATTCTGCTTCTTTTACTTTTACATATAAACATCAGGATTGGTTTGTTGACATCCACATTCATTTTTATTTTAATTCCATTGGTTTTGAATATGACAGAAATGGAGATATTCCAAAGTCCTGGTTTTGAGAGGGAAGGTATATTTTTAAATCTTCATTATTTATTCATAGTCTTGTATTCTTTGCTTATTTGTGTTGCCTCTTTAGTTAATTTAAATATTTTAAACATCTATGTTTAATTATTTTGCATGAGATACTTCAAATATATAATATCCTAGAATGTCTAGTTATGTCGCTTATTGTTTCTCACACATGACATCTTGTTTATTCGTGTGTTTTGTTATTGGAGATCATGAATTCATAGTCATCAGGTTTTTAATGTGGAAAAAATATTAGACCTTGATTGAGCATACATCGTTGCAGAGAGAATTTATTTTTGTATTTAAAAGGACTGAGGCATATGGAACTATTACTAACCTGGATTACATACAGTGAATTTTTTGACATTTATTTTTGGATTCTTCCATATACAAACAATGTGTGTATAAATTTTGAGCCCATTTGAAGGAAGGCTGATGGCCCCAAATTCTTGGAGAATTATTTTACTCCTCAAATTTTAGTCCAAGAGAAGTAGTCTTTCATCTTTATTTGACAGTTGGGTGGTTTTATCTACCCTGGCATAGGTCAGAATGTGAGGTGAAGATTATTATTGACATAATTTATTGTGTAAGTTCTCTCTACTCTTCAAAAAAAGAGTAACGAGGGGCATAGGGCTGGCAAACTAATTCTATCAACTTGTTTGTTTGGTGACTCTTCTTCTTATGATAGTCTCTCATGGAAAAACACTCACATTTTGTACCCACTCCCATAGTTCTATCCATGTCTCTCCCCAGTCTTTCAATACTATTCCTTCCAGGTTTCTGTTCAACTGTCTAAGGCATTTGCCATTGCCCATGAATCTGAGTATACCTTGGCCACTTATTTCTCCAAATAAAGTTGATGACCTGATTTACTGTCCAAATTCAACCCTTTGGAAGGTAGTTTCTTCACTGTGGTCCTTCAGGCCACTCCTAAATGGGGGTTTTGTCCAAGAGCAGTTCATTTTTGGCTTGCACTCACATACCAAGCAGACACATCCATGAGCTAAGATTGGGCTCTTTCCTCCTCTGTAAGCTCATCAGAGGGAAACTCCCTTAGGGCCATGAGCTGAGAGAAGCATCAGTGAGAGAATGGTAAAAACACGGTGGGCCCTGGCCTCCTGTGTTACATCTTACTTATGCCCTCTAGAATTAATCGTAATTCTAGATATATCATTTCCGTATCATGAAAGATTGTTGCACAGTGTCTCCCCATCCCTGACCTTGTGATTTGGAGGGTTTGATAATACCTACGTCATAATGAGTAGTCCTGGCTGCATGGTTGCTTGATGTCCTTTGGTCAGTTCAGCTTCTATCAGAGATCATTAGCAAAACAAAAGCTATTTTTAAAATAATGTATAGTTATCTACTGTGGATGGCATGGTTTTGCTACAGGATCCAAGTGATTGTATTATAGATCTTGTATTAGGATTTGCCAGAGCCTCCACATGGTACTTTTTCCACCTCAGATACATGTATTACCATGGGACCTTCAAGTCATGTGCCCTAAATGGCAGAGCCCTGTTCTGGGCCCACACAAAGTCAGGACCCTCTGTCTCATCCAACAAACAGGTTAGGTCAGTATTTCCAACTGCAATATATGCTGTCTCCAAATCTCAAAGAGTGTTCTGCTTCCTTCTTAGTTACATGAGGTGCAAGGCACAAAACATCTTTTGCTTCAGCTTCACTGATGTACCAGGGTTGTAAATCCTTGCAGTGCTTACCTCTCATTCTTGAGAATGCATGTGTCTTATTAAGGTATTTAGAGGACTCACCAGGTCTTGTTCATCAGGACCAATTACATAATATCATCAGTATAGTAGATTAATATATTATCTACTGAATGGATTATTTTCATTTGGATGCCCAGATAGTTCTTTCATACAATATTCTAATAGAGAGCAAGATAAATAATATAGTCTTCAGGAAAACCAGAAATATATGTAGTCATCTCTCCCAGGTGAATGCAGAAGATTCTGATTTTTTTCTTTTAATGGTTATGGGAAACAAAGTATTCATTAGATCAATAGCCACATACTATGTAAACAAAATTGTGTTAATTTGCTCTAGAAGAGACACCACATCTAACACAGCAGTGGCTTCTGGGGCTACCAACTGGTTAAGTTTGCAGTAGACTACTATTATCTACCATGATTCATTAAGTTTTTGGACTGACCAGGCTGGGGAATTGAATGGGGCTACTACTGCTATATTATTTAAGTCTTTGAGAAGATCATTAATACCTGCACTCCTCCATGACCCATTATTGTATCACTACCTTAGCAGAGGGAAGGCATTTCAGGGGCTTTTACATGGCTCTTACCCTGCAGGTCAAGATTTTGCCTTGTAAGGATTTTGCCAGCTTCTAAATGTGGCCATTTCAAATATACATTGGGTACCAGGGAAATGATCAATAGTTGGCTCTGAGGATGCCATGAGAATGAACATACCCCATAATTCCAGTTATTACTTGGCAAATCAAACTAGTCCATCCACAGAGAACAGCTATAAAAACTAATAAAACATATTTAAAATAGCTGCTTGAAGCACAAGAAATCCAGAAAGACAACAGAATTAAGGTCTAGAGAAGAACAAAGAATAGATAGATGAGCATAATATTTGAAACAGCTTTACCCCTTGATATGTCTATTATTTAGAGGAAAAGTGGAAATATACCAGCCCACAGGAGCACTAAATCTCACCATTCAAACATCTCAATTTTTGAAATCGATTGTGTGATTCCAGATTACTAGGACCCTTGAACATCTGTCAGATGCAAATATAAATCTTCTCAAGAAGGAAGAAAACATTGACCTGGGATTCAAAAATTACTTTTATAATTAATTATATACAGTATCAGGCATTTAATGAAAAAAATATGAGGCCTGTAAGGAAAGAAGCCATCGTGTTAGAAAATCAAGAGAAACAAATACAATCATAAAGAATGACACAGAGGATTCAGATAATGTAATTATCAGTTACAGACTTTAAAATAACTAGCTTAATATGAAAAAGGCCTTAAAAGACAAATCTGAGAATTTCAGTAGAGAACAAAAAAATACAATGTGAAACAAATACATATTATAGAACTAAAAAAATGAAATAACCAAAAGAAATAATTTAATTGATAAAGTTAATAACAGGTTAGAAATTGCTGAAGCATGAAACTGAAGAAAATTGCTAGAATGAAGTACAGGGAGACAAAATAATGGAAAATAGAGAAAAGAAAGAGAGTAAGAGTTGCAGAGAGGTCTAACATGCATGTAACTGGAGTTCTAGGAGGAGAGGAGAGAAAATGACAGAATGAATATTTGAGAAGGTAATTGCTAAAAATGAAGAAAGATTTCAGGATACAGATTCAAGAAGACCTAAAGGATCAGAAGAAATATAAGTAAAAAGAAATCCATACCTTAGCACTTCATAGTAAAACCCCTGGGGAGAAAAGAGAAAGAATAGACATTAAAAGAAGTGGAAGAAAAAAAGACTATTTTCAAAGAAGTAATAATTGTCTCAACAACTGACTACTCCAATGAAACAATGAAAGCAGAAAATGCTGGAATAATATCTGCAAAGTATTGAAAGAAAATAACCTAGAATATCATATCCAGTGAAAAATGTCTTTCAAAAAGGAAGATGAGAAGTCAAAATGAACTAACTTATGCATGATAGCAAATTATGAAAGCTGGACAAGAAAATAACACCAAAAGAAAATAATTGTTCGACTTCAAAGGATAATCAAACAGAAAACCCGGGCTGTAATCCTTGAAAGAGTTTGAAGTGCATGAGGTGAGCTTCATATTTATTATGAATTTTCTCCTGGAAGTATTTTATAGTTTCTGGGGGCAGGGGGGACAATGTTTAAGCTTGGCAGTGCATTCTTGCTGGGCTGAAGAGACAAAGATTAGAGTTTGGGGTCACCAATATGGATGGAAATCAAGGAACAAAATTTAGGAGAGAAGGTAGCCACAGAAAATGCTTTCTCAGATATGGGCATTCTCTTTTGCTTTCTTTTCTTTTCTTTCTTTCTTTTCTTTTCTTTTTTTGAGACAGGGTCTCTCTGTGTCACCCAGGTTGGACAGGTTGAAGTACAGTGGCGTGATCTCGGCTCACTGCATCCTCCACCTCCCTGGGCTCAAGTAGTCCTCCCACCTCAGCCTCCCGAGTGGCTGGGACTACAGGTGCATGCCACCACACCTGGCTAATTTTTGCATTTTTTGTAGATGTGGGGAGGTTTCACCATGTTGGCCAGGCTCTTGGGTCCAAGTGATTCTCCCACATGAGCCCCCCAAAGTGCTGGGATTACAGGCATGAGCCACAAATGGCCAGCTATGGACATTCTGATGTGCCTTTATTCTTCATCCCAGTTTTTGGATTTTATGCCAAAGTATATTTTCTTGGGTATGGAGCAAACAGGATCTTCCTTTTCTTTCTTATCTCTATGTCTTAAGTATATTTTCTCATTTTCTGTATCCCTGGTGCTCTGGCATTTGAAGCCTGGCAAACACAGAGAATTGCCTCTCCCAGGATTAACTACTTCTTAGAGATAACAACCAACTTGCCTGCCAATATACCTTTGATATGCAAGCCAATCCACCCTGAATTCACACCCCCACCCATCTCCTTTTCTCAGACTTCTACAGAAATCATTCAAGTCATCCAGTCTTAAATTTTAACATGTGTTAGCCTGCTCTGTCCATTCCTTCCCTTGAAAACTAGGAACCACAATAAAGGCTTCTCCCACAAAGTCCCCTTCTCTCTTCACTTGCTCATCTCCCTCCAGTGCTTCCCTGTGTGGCTCTGCAGGTGTGCCGTGCCACCTGTTTCTAGGAGACTGTGACTGTAATAACAACTTCTTCCTTCATGCAATAGTTTTTGTGTCTGTATGTCTTACTATACCTGCTCAAAACAAATCCTCGTTATGTATTTTGAACACTCTGAGTTATAAGCAGCCAGCATTTTTTTTTAATTAACTAACAATCTTGCTCTTTACTTGATACAAGCACCAGCTTAAAGACCTCTTTATTTACTACAGTTTGAAATATGTGGACTGAAAATGCACAGAATTGGCCTACGACCTTACCAATTTTATCCCTTCTAGCCAATTTAAATTTTAGTCTGATGAAACCATTTCTGATTAGGGCCATTCAGTTCCCCATATGGACACAAAAAAATCTCATATTTCTCAGCCCTTAGGGTAACTTAGGCTGGCTATTGATGGAATGTTTATAAAAATTGGTTCGCCGTTTCTTTCTATAAATAGCACATACAAATCTTCATTAAATCTGATCTGAGATTCTGAGCAACAAAATAAAATTAAAACAAGAAAGTAGGTTGCAAAATATCTCATGGAAACATCAAGGAATTGGCTGAAGATGCACTTGACAGGAATCTTATACCTAATTTTGTTTCTGCTCTTTGAAAAAGCTATCTAACTGACTTACCTCTGGGTAAATAAAGCAATTAATTCATTCAAATAGAGATTTACTGCCCAAATTCTCACTCCTTTCTGTCATCTGTATGTGGGAATTAATGCTGCTTTCCTCTTTTACTTTTTCATTCTTTTAACTATGTGAACAAAATGTATGTCATTCATAGGTCTAGATTACAGATTTAATTTTTATCATAATAATTCATGAAAACAGATGGGGAAATAGATATTTCGATTTAAAGAGTATTCAGAGATGTAGTTATAACATTAGCATTATAGGGTAGACCTTTATCTAATCTGGTGGGAATTTAGAGCAATTCTAAAGCATACATTTAAGAACCATAAGGACTGTCTGCCTTTATTGCAATTTTAGCTTGTTCCCAATTCTGGAATGGTGATTGGGGAAGCCTCTTTACTATTATTAAAGTGTCTCTGTATTGCTGTTTTAGTCACTTTGGGTTTAAACAACAGAAGTTTATTTCTCATAGTTCTGGAGGCAGGTAGGCTGAAAATCCGAGATCAGAATGTCAGCATAATTGAATTCTGGCAAAGGTCCTTTTCTGGTTACAGACTACTGACTTCTTGTTGTATCTTTATCTGGTAGAAAGAGAGTGCAAGCTCTCTCTGTGGTCCCTTTTATAAGAGTATTGATCTACCAGGAGGGCTCCACCCTCATGTCCTAATTACCTCCCAAAGTCCTCACCTCTTAATATGTTACGTTGGGAGGTAGAATTTATATGTATATACATTTTGGAGGGGTCACAAATATTCAGTTCATTGCATTTACTGTCTTAGAAAGCAGCAAATTATTTACAACAAAAATGATTACTTCATTTAATGACTTGCTGGATGTTTATTTTTATAAATATTTAATGTTGCTTAAATTTATTTTATTTTTCACTCTGTAAATAGAAAAATGCAGAAAGGAAGTAAGAGAGAGCCTGCCACATGCATGCCACATGCAAGCCACTTTGGTACTACCAGAATGAAAGCATTCCTGTGTAGGCACCAATCAGAGTAAATAGACATAGTGACGTGTATTTAAATAATTGTTTTTTTAAAAAATATCTTCTATGTGCATACCCCTATGCCATGTGTCTGCAGCTGGGGAATGATATGAAAATGAATTACCTAAACTTATCTTCAATGAACCACTATCCCAGAAGGACAGATAGATTTATAGCCCTCTCTTCTCAGGAATTTCATGACACTGTTCTCTCCTTCTGTGACTGTACCTTCCTGGTTTCTTAGGAAATTTGTTCTTCTTTATTTCAAAATTACATGTGTAGTTACTCAAGATAAAAATCTCTTTAAATGTATAGCTTCTCCACTGATGATCTTTATTCTTCTGGATTCATTACTATTTAAATGAGAACATTCACAAATTCATCTCTCTGGACCAGATCTATTTTCCAAACAATAAATCTGTGTATAAAACTAGGTTGTGCAAATTAAACACATATAAAAATAAACACATGATGTTCTCATGCAAACCTAACCTTTTTCCAGTATTCTCTATCTTTGTGAATGGCATTGCTCCAAACATCTAGCAGTCATATTCAAAACCTCCTATTTATTCACTGTCATACCAGAGCCGCTGCCAACTCAGCAAAAATTCCTCCAAATATTTATTGAATCAAACTGCTTCACTCTATGTTCATGGCATTCAAACTATTGTTCCAGGTACTCTCTATTTTATTCAGATGGTGTAATCACCTGCTATCTTTTCTACCCCAGCACATCCTCTATGTCCACCCTTATAAGTACACCTTATAATATTTTCCTTTGTAACACTTCTCTCTACATGAAATTCTATTACTACATCATATTATAACCTGTATTCATTTATTGTTACTAGAATGTTCACTCAGTGAGGGCAGGGTTTTCTGTTGTGTTGATCACTGATTTATCCTGAGTACCTAGAGCACTCACTGATATGTAGTATCTACTCAATACATACTTGTCAAAGTGTCTGTCTCCTTCATTAGAATTTCAGCTTTATAAGGCTGGACTCTTGACAGCCTAGTTCCTCCTTATATTACCAATAACTACAAGAGTGCTTATTACTTAAGAAAATCTCAGTTATGTTTGTTGATGACTAAATGAATGTATAAATGAATGTACTCTATTTACTTTCAAAGAGTTTTCTACTTTTCTTTCAGAATAATATTTTGAAAACATAAAGCAGACCTTATCAAACACATCAAACTGCTACCCATCTGCCCCACTCCCATTACATATACACTTAACAGAAAACTCATTAAGATAAACATTGATAGTCTGGCCTCTTCACATTTTCCAGTCTTATATCTGCCTCACTGTCTGTCCCATCCACTGCAGTCTGTTTTTCATGACCTGATACTCACCATGTTCCTTCCTGCTATAGTGATCTGGCACATATTTTCGCCTTGCCTGATGTGGCCCTTCCTCCTCCTCCTCTTCTTTATCCTAAGCTTTTCAATTACATGTTACTTCCTCACATAAGTCTTACCTGGCCTTCCTGGCTAGGAAAATTCTTTCTAAGTTCTTATAGCACTTCTCTTTCATTGCACTTATACAATATTACATTTATTTTGTGATTCATTTATTAATGTCTGCCTTCCTCTATAAAATTGTAAGCTGTATTAGGGCAATTCCTTGCCCACTTTTGTTCAACATTGTATGTCCACTAACCAGCATGAAGGCTGGCACATAGTTGGCAATCAAAAATGTATGTTAAATGAATGGATTTTTAAATGATGAATATGGAATCCCATGAAAAGTGTGACATAATGCACACATAAATAAAGTACATAGAGGAATACTTGGCAGGACTAACTTTGAGTGACTTTCTATTCAAGACTTAGTTGCATATTGCAGGGTCTCAGAGTCTCAGCAGGAAACATATCACACTGAAATTCAGGTAATTAGACAGTTTGCTTACTTACATAGGTTTGGGCAGGGATTCATGAAACTAACAAGGGATTAATTAGAAACTAACAAGTGCAGGTGGCCCTAAGGCCTAAAAATGGAGGGATAGAGTGATTGCAGATCCCAGAGAAGCTAGCTGCATGGAGAGGGCCACTTGACCAGAGCTGGCCTTCAGTAGAGGAACTCGTTCAGCTCATGGTTAATCTGCAGACAAGGGGCTGAGGGAAGGACTACCCTGTGTTTATGTATTAGTTTCCTGGTATTGCTGTAATAAATATTCACAAACTTAGTGGCTGACAGCAATATACGTTTATTACTTTACAGTTCTTGATGGTCAAAACTCCCCCATGGGTCTCGCTGGGCTAAAAGTCAAGGTGTCGCAGGGCTGTGCTCCTTCTGGAGACTACAGGAGCCAATCTGCTTCCTTGCCTTTTCCAGCTTCTAGAGGACACCTGCATTCTTTGGCTTGTGCTCCCTTCCTCTATCTCCAAAGCCAGAAGTGTAGCATCTTCATGTCTCTCCCTGACTGTGACTTCTGCTTCTGTCCTCACAACACCTTCTTTCTCACTCTTTCTCTGACTCTGACCCTCCTACCTCCCTCTTGTAAGGAAACTTATGACTAGATTGTGCTCACTAGATAATGCAGAATAATTTCTCCATATCAAAAACCCTTAACTTAATCATAGCTATGAAGTCCCCTTTGCCATGTAAGGTAACATTCATATATTCTGAGGATTTGAATATGGACATTTTTGAGGGAACGTCATTCAGATTACCATATTTTCCCTCCACTATTCTCCTGCCAGTGCCTACTACTGGGGAAGCCATGAGGTAAAGAAAACCATTTGTGTCATCTATATCAATCAGCCTCCCAGGATACATGCTTGACAGATTTGGATTTGGAAGGAGAAATGGACTATATGTAGAGAAGCCCATATGTAGGAATTAATATTATATACTAGGTTGTATATTGGTTCTATCCTACCCATTTTATAATCTGAACAGACTTTTTCATTTATAACTTTAATATTATGTATATATAAAACTATAAGTTTTTGAAATTAAAAATTTGATTTTAAAAATTAAAAATGTGATATTGTATGGAAAGCCCATATTTGATTTGATTTATTGCAATGTTATTTTTTCAAATAAAAACTTCTTATATCCAAAAAAATGGAAAAAAATGTTAATTCATTACAGATTTATTTGATTTTAAATGTTTTACAATACATAATAATTTAGATAGTTTGAAGAAAATATGGTGACTATAGATTTGATGTATTAGACAGAGGTCTTGATTCCTCCCATGTGACAATAATCCTCCATGTCATTGGATTCTAAAGAATTATTTTAAATTGAAATAAATATTTCCTTCTTAGGTGGAAAATTCTTAGACCAAGTGTAGAGTAATGTTTTCAAATATTTAAGACTGCAAACCCAAGAAATATATAAAATATCAGAATTTAAACCACTAGGAAAACCCTTTTAAAAGGATATTTCAGAAAAGAATAAAAGAGAATGAAAGGATTTCCTAATTTGAGATTGAAAAGTGAAAGACTCATCTTGAAACTAAAGCAATGATTAACTAAACAGCCAAAGTGATACTTGTAAACATTTATGTATTGACCAGTATAATGTTGTATAATTCAACTTCTTTTTACAATCTGGCTTCTCTGTTATAAGGGACTCTTGGTTTACATGTTAATAGCTGTTATCTTATGAATTGTGGCTCAAGCTCTTGAGAATGTTTGTGAAATGTGTTATTGTGGTTATGAGTCATTCTAGTCACTGCCAATATCTCTTCATTTTCGGGAGTTAGAGGAAGATGACTCAGTTAAGCCAAAATAATTGATGTAGCACATTGGTGAGGATTTATTATTATGTGCAGCTGTTCTTGAATATTGTCTTTCTCAGAGTACTGGCTCCCTTTTTTGGACATATTATCCTAGAATATAGAGGTCTTTCATACAAATACTTGCTAACTTGAAATTGTTTCTAGGAAGTTGACATATATCAGCCATAGATATTAAAACATTTAAAGGTATCTGATTCTGTAAGTAGGCTTGCTGGTGCAATCGGAAATCAGTTTATTCTATTAACATTTCTATAAGTCATGCATGACACTCATGATAAATTATGTCTGGGAATTGCTAGGATATATTTTGCTTCCAGAGATCCAGTTAGTCTTTTAATTCTTCTGCCATACACTAAACTTTCTTTTGATGTCTAGAGGCTTGATAAATATCAATTAATGCTTTCTTTCACACTTTGGATTTGTAGAGTTATTTGCCACTCACTCAAGAAAATGGAAATATTCCTTTTTCTATATTTTTTCTAAATATGTTCTAATTCATTAATTTTATACTATTATATCTCAGCATGGTAAGGAGGGGACAACATAATAAATACTGACCTATTAATTGAAAGTTGCTATATAGAAAGACAAATCCATCTGGTATTATTTCATATCGAACAATTATTCAATATTATTATAACCATTGCAAGATGAAGGCAGAAATAATTTATTATTCTCCAGTAGGGTATCATTTGTTCAAAGAACTGAAGAAATTTAGCATGGTGACAGGCAGGGTTTTAAGAGAAAGGAAGCCTGGCTCTTGAGGAGACCAGAGGCCACATATATATACCAGAAAAATTATATATGTACCAGAGACCACATCAGAATGGGCCTTGTGTGTTATGAAAGGTATTTCAGGCAAAGCCACTGGGAAGCCGTGTGACTAGTGACAAGTTGTTTACCTCTCCGTATCACAGTGTTTTTATATAAAAGATGGAGATAATAATGCTGGCTGCCTCATCAGATACTTGTGAGAATGGAATGATTTTGCACATACATAAAAAAAAAATCATAAGTATTGGACAGATGCCAAGTTTACTGTTGAAAAATTTAAAGCAGAAAAATGATATCACACATCAAATCTCATCCAGAGTCCATGTCTTCTTTTATGGTATGTTTGGTATTTCCTGTATCATTATGACATTTTCCTAGTTTTCTTACACTAATAGGGTAAACAAAGCAAAGAATTGCCTAATCACCAGGAAGTTCATTAAGAATGGTTTAATTGAAATTAAATTTTCAGGCCACTTAATATCACTCAGACTTACCACTTTAAGGTTAATTTATCATGTTTTTTTATAGTCTATATTTGGACAGTTACCATAAACATGGCTTGATCAGCTCAATATTCTGTATAAATCTAACAGAAACCAGAGGCTCTCTTGCTGTATCTGTTTCCTAAAGAAAACAGTCCATGCCAAGTTTCTGTGGCAAAGGTCAGTACTTAATAGATACTGTGGTACAACTTAATAACCTTATAAAATTCTGGTTGTTAAACCACAACTTGGAATCATAGCCTTATTTTTTACATGTGCTCTCATGCACATAGATTTTGGTGCATAAACAGATTTCTTAAGCATTTTCACTTCTTTGACTTCAAATGTATGTAATATATTAAAAATGTATATTTTTGTGTTATTTTCACCAATGCCACCCTTGTTTCTTTTAGTTACACACTCTTTCAAGATAAAATTAGAAGACAGGTAATTGTAAAGTAATTATGTTATTGAATAACAAAGCACAATTGTTAGTGCTTTTTAAAATTATGTGGGAATAAGAGTCATGACAGACTTGCTTCAGGCACTGCAGTTTTCCCTCCCATTTCCTTGCCTCCTCTCACATCCTTTCTCCTCCTCTCCCCTTCTCTTCCTTCCCCTTTCCTTCCTCTCTCTTTCTCTCTCAATATAAAATCATCCCTGTAGGCAAAACTCTGGTATTTATTTCCATTAAGATGCTGAATGTTTTCCAAATCATTTTCCAAATCACTTATACATGAATAATTAAAAAACAATAAAAGGTATCAATATGTAAAACATTTCACTTGAATACATATTTGGAATTTTCACATAGCATTTTTACTTATAAATTAGGTGTCATACATTGAGATGAATTCATGTTTATGTATATATGCTAATTAGAACAATAAGAGGATTTTTAGCATTATAAACATGTTCTTTTCCACTCTACCAGTTTGCTCTTATATTTAAGTGCAAAAAAGAAGAGCACTTTTTGTCTGAGTATAACATTGGAATTTGAATTGAGGTTGTGGACAGTATGGCTACTGCAGTGTGGTTGCTAGAGGCACTCTGCTGATTTCGTATGTGTGGGTTGAATAGACTGCACTTTCAAATGGCACCTACATGAATCTAACTATAGCTTTGAAATAAATGAAAGGAAATGATTCAGCCCAACTGGAGTTTTCATAATGTGCTTAAACTGTGGACTGCAAGGATCCTGGGCGATTTTCTAGTCCTGACTCCATATGACAGATGGACACAAAGAGCCAGAAAGGTAAGACTGACAGCTATCGTTCCTGGAGAATGGAACCTCACCTCAGATGGAAGGAAGGCACATCCCTAGGCTTCTGCCAAGTCCAGATGGTCTTTACTAATTTCTTTTTGATGTTCTTTACTTTCAGCTTTAAAAATAATATTCATAAAAGTAATATGTGCCTTTCTATAAAGACAATGGTTTATTTCTCTCACTCTGCCTGTTTTAATGGCCTGTCTTGGTACTTTTCCAGTTTTTAAGGGGAAAGTAATAAAACTCAAATACCTTCTAGCTGTCCAGCTTACCACTCTGTAACTTCCTCATGTTATGCCCATCATTTTATAATACATACCTAGAGAACATTTTCATTTGATAGGACTTAAAGCCATACTAATAATATTAGCCACTGTCCTATTTTTGACTTAGAATAATTTCTTCATTTCCATTTCTCTAGTTAACTTCCTTTTATAGTCAAAATAAAAAGCTTACATTGTTTCCCTTCCAACATTAGGAACATAAACCAACTAACCAACGTATTACTAAGAACCAGAAAAAAATATTAACTATTCTGGAAATGGTAGATGGAACTTGATTCAGGAGGGCAACTTTTATGCCATGGAGATAAGAAGTATAAGAAAATGTTAAAAACAAAAGATTATATAACCCAAATGCTGAATATCTGTGAAGTCACATTGATCTGCTTTTTTACACATAAAATAAAACTATTACTGATGAAGAGACTGAATCTTCACAGTTTCAGTTCATGAGAACACATCATGACGTTCAATTTTTAAAGTCTCAGACAAAATGTTATATAATATAAATGAATACTGTAGTCTCTTGAATTCTGGCTTGTATAGAAATTTCTACAATATCCAGAAGAGAGGAAAAGATGAAGAAGAAGAAACGGAGTTCAGTGAGTGTAGTGTTTATCTAATTCCAACTTCAAGACATACATATCTGAGCATGTGTGCAGTGAGAGAGGAGCTGGGACATTGAGACTCAGAACAGCCCTGATCTTGGAGAAAACTGTAAGCTCTTAATGAGGGTCATGCACCAGGATGTGTAGAGACCAGCCCTGAGGTTGAGGACTGGAAAATGAATCCAGGCCCTTCCTGCAGAACGCCTTCTAGGCCACTCTAAAGGATCTAGATATTTTTCCCCCATAATATTTATCCCTGCTTTTCTTAATTTATTTTTCAGTTTATAGAAGTATATCCTTAATTTTTTCAAAAACAGTACACAGGAAAGAAAAATTCTGATGAAAGTTCTCATCTCCACTTCCTCTGGAAAACAGTATTTTGTCTTGTTTAACATAGGCCTTGCCTTTCTGATGCTGCTCCACTTTAAGTGTCTGGTGGGTTTTGGCTGTTTATTCATGTTTACGAATGAAGAATTAGGTAGATTAATGGGTCTTTTCTGCTGTTACTGACTTCTTCTCTGATAGCTCTCTATATTGGCAGGGTATGTTGACTGTGAGGTTTCAGGTAAATCCTTCGGTTCTCTTAGTGTTCAAACCACAACAGGGTCTCATCCCACGTGCTCTGTTTGCCTTTTCAGGCTGGGTTAGTCTGGGTCCCCTGAGAAGGAGATACCAAGATTAGAGGTGCAAGACATTAATTGGGGAAAACACCCATTAGAGGAACAGGGGAGAAAGGAAGATAAGGTGCAGAGAGCTTTCTGACCATGAGGCAAGCCTTACCTCTGTGAAGACAGGGAAGGAAGGAAGGCAGAATAGGTTGTCTTAGATGGCAGCACAGTTCCTAGAAAGATTATGCCAGGCTCTTGGGAACCTCTCAGGACAAAGTAGCATGTTAAAGAATTTCTGCATCTTGTAAGATGAGCCTGCCTCTGTGTTCCTGCCACTCTCAGTCATTGGCTGAGAGAGCAGGAAGTGTGGTCTTTGAGTGTATTATGGTGGTACAGTCAGAGTGCAACAGCTGGAGATGTCAACCAGTCACTCTCCCTGTTGCTGAACAGCCGAGTAATTCACTTTCATGGTTGCCACACATGCCCCCATCAAATGTGGAGTTTATTTCTGCTCTGCAGAAATCTGTGCTGGGCATGTTACCTGCTTTGGTCAAAAGAACAACAGAAATGATTACATGTAACATATGAGACTGAGGTTTAGATCATGCAATTTCTTTCCATGTCATTTGCTCATAAGGCTTTTTTCATTTGCTCAGAAGGCTTTGTTTGTTTGTTTCTTTTTGTTGTTGTTGTTTTTGGAAATGAGATGCCATGAAAGAAGTCTAAATGCCCTGAGATGACCATGAAGAAAATCACTTCAGCCACATAAAGAAAGAAAATCCACATGAATAATCATGGTGATGACAAACATGCAGACAAAGCCTTTTTGGATCTTTTTGCCCAGCCCAGTTACCAGCCCAGTTACCAGCTGAGAGATTGATCCCAGACAAAAATACGTGGAGCAGAAGCACTGCTCTGCCCAAAATCACAATTCAAAGCATCATAAACAAAATACAACGGTTGTAGTTTCCAAACTCTTTTATTTTAAATGTACTTGTTACTGTATGGAGGCGCCTACCTTAGTATCCTACCACACTCAGATAGTGGCTGTGAGCAGCCCACAAGAAGCCTAGCCTTTGAGTGGATATGGCTAATGATGTTTCCAGGGAGAATATTGGAAATTTTAACTGACCTCTTTTAATTGTCTATTATAAAGTGAGAGAAATCAAGCAAAAAAGGAGCTGTTTCATATTCAAGCAGAATTTACAGGAACTATTTTTAACTTAGGACATGCCAGGTTAGAAAATAAAACTATGTCTCCTTCCCAGCTTCTCCAGCTGGCACAGTCTCCAAATTAGGAAATGGAAGCAGAGCCAAAATTAAATCCAAGGTGCTGCCTGTAAAATGTGGCTTTGGGGTCAATATTAAGTCAAAGATCTTCCTAGAAGACGCTTTGTGAAGAAATAAAAAAAAATTTAGTGGTATATTGCTTTGATCTCTGCTTGAATAAAGGGCACCTAAGGATGTCAAATGATTTCTCCCATGGAACCCTGATTCACAAACTAAAGCAGAGGGGCACATGTCTTTTTGTCTAAGGAGTGGGTTATAATTCAATGTATAGAAAAGACACATATCTTTTATAGAAACTGTACCAGTTTGGACTGAAATGGACAAGAGATTTCAAAATGAAGTGAGGCCTATGGGCCCCCAAACTTTCACACACAGGAAACAAGCTGAGAAAATCACTCAGCTGCAAACATGGGCAATGTCTTTTGCAACATGGTACAACAACATGGTATAGCTACACTGCCAGAAGACCCACTTCTGGAGAGCAGATCTGGACTTTAATCAGTGTACATTTATTTTCCCCACAGCACCAGGGGTTGACGACATATGCTAGGTGGATTTCAAAATTGCTGTGGATGACTGACTACTGTGTAGTTTCCTGTTTTTTCCTCCTTTTTTGAATGACAGGGGCTGTTGCAGTTATTCTGTTTCTATTTTCCCAATATATGTTGGGTATGGGTCAAGAAAAATATCTTTTAGTTTTTTATCCATTCATCTCTGAAGATAAGATGCCCAAAGAATAACACCTGAAGAAACTTATTCTCACCTGGGCCCAATTTAGATAAAGAAATTCTTGTCCTCAAGCCTAGGTCTGATGTAATAGAATGAAATTTTGGGGGAGAGTGACGAGTGTGTTTTTCATGAGAGAGGAAATTTTTGTGGACTGAGGGCAGAAGGTGTGTTTCCAAAATTGGTCCCCAAAATACTTGTTATCCCATATGCTATTTTGCAGTGTGACTTTACCTTGACCTCATTAATTATGAAGTCTATTTCCCCTCTGCTGGAATCTGGGCTTTCCTTGGTATCTGTGTTTCCAACAGAATATAGCAGAAGTGACTATATAAAACTTCCCAGTCTGGGAAGTCTATGGCCTCTGCCTTTACCACTTGGAAGCCAATGGCCTTGTGAGAAGAGCCACTGTTTCAAGGTCATCCTGCTACCGAGAAGCCCAAGCTAGCCATGTATAGAGAGGGCTGCCACGTGGAGGCGCACTGAGGAAGCAATGCGAGTGAAGCTTTCTCAGACCTTCTAGTCCAGCCTAGCTGCAAGCCAGCTGCAGCTGACTGAATAATCCCTGTGCAGTGGGAAACTCTCACTGCCCCCAATCCTGGTCCATATATTTATGAGCTAAACTGCTAACTTTTGGAACATTTTATCATGCAGTAATAGATAACTGAAATAGGGACAACTCTCCAGTCTTAGAACATTCTAGCTTCACCCGTATCAATTCCTCAATTTCCTTAGTTAGTAAGTTTCTGGTGTTAGCCCAGGGGGTACACATGGCTACTGCACTTGTTTGGGACATTGATTTGTGTAGCTTGTGCAATTGCAGTTTTTGATCAATCATCTCATTTTGTGCTCTGTCTCCTATTCTGACTTGTTATATTTATCAACACCACAGAATTTCTTCATGAGAAACAAACAAACAAAAACCAAATAAAATTAAAACACACACACACACACACAACTTCCTCTGCTGCATTTTTCTCCCATGGGAACCTTTCTTTTTTTCCTGAAGTGTGCCTTAATCTTAGTTCAATTTTCCACTACCTTCCATTCTCAGAGTTTTAATGAATTTATTCTTTATTTAATAACTTTACAATCATTCAGTGTTTAGTGGGATGTAGGAGGAGTAAACTTGAGTGTCTAATCTATATTTGGAACAAGAAGTCCATTCACCTACATTCTAATCATTATTCATTAATTCCTTTATTATTTCAACAAAAGAATCTTCATACATAAAGGATCATAGTAGTTCTTAAGCATATTCTGTTAAGAGCTTACAATACAATGAAGAAGACAAGCATTTGAACAGGTAACTAACACAAGTCAAGGTGAAATGAGAGCTGGAAGGGAGCAGAAAATGTCACTCTTTATTATATTATAGTTGAAGTTCTGGGATACACGTGCAGAATGTGCAGGTTTGTTACATAGGTCTACAAGTGCCATGGTGGTTTGCTGCACCCATCGACCTGTTATCTACATTATGTATTTCTCCTAGTGTTATCCCTCCCCTAGCCTCTCCACCCACCGACAGGCCCCAGTGTGTGATGTTCCCCTCCCTGTGTCCATGTGTTCTCATTGTTCAACTCCACTTACGAGCCGCTCTTATTTCTGATGTAGAAGTGTGGAGATGACTTGACAGAGGAGCACACATGTGAGCACCCAGCACTTGGCACGCAGCCTAATGTGCTCAAGTAGGTACATGAAAGAGATTTGTTCATTGAAATGTTTAATGAAGTCTTGAGTCTTGAAGCATGAGTATGACTTCAATAATCAGACAAGATGAGATGAATTTTCATGCCCAGGGAAAAGCAGGAATTAAGATTTGAAAGAACCAACAATGGTACCAGACAGTCTCCTAGCGTGTCTGGGGTGCTGGATATGTGGAGGGATGAAGTGACCTATCTGGCTCCAAAAGTAGTAGAAATGATAGTAACATATATATAATTTATAAGAATATATACATAAAAATATTTCTTTTTTTCGTTGATACTGGGAAGTTTCTTAAATGCAGTAGTGATCAAATATGAGAAGAAAGTAATGATGAAATTATATTGACTTGGCAATTGTTAGGAAGTGAAAGATGAGAAATAGAGGAAAATCAAAGAGAATTTTCAGATTTTTAGCTTGAGGACTCATATTTAGCTGCTTCCAATGAAAGCAGGTGAAAACAAACAAGTATTTCAAAAAAACCTGCATCAGAGCTTTTCAACTGAGACAGTTTATGTATAATGTAATTAGCAGGGAAATGGTGGCAAAGGACCTCTCTATGGGTCAGATGCCCACTTCTCTCTTCCACAGTTGTGATCACATGACCTAGATTGTGAAACTGAGCTGCCACTTAGTCTGATTCATTAAACAGTGTCCTAAACATAGACACTAAAGTAGTAACATGAAATCTTGGCAGATGGCTGTTAATGGAGATCTGAAAACCCATTATCTGGTAACTTACCCATATATTATTTTTTCTTATAAAAATCAATTATTCAGAACATAGGTAGCCCTTAATAGCATTTAAAAGAGCACACTGAAAGAGCTCATTTCTGGTGAAAATTCAATGAAACTCTTTCAGCCTCAATCCCAAGAAAGCAAGAAAAAATGGTTGTGATATTTCAAATCGAAACTAATTTGTTAACCTTTATGGACACTTTTGAAAACTTTATTCCAAACAGTACCCGAATTATCTGAGAAGGAATCCCATTGGATTCACAATCTTAATAAGAATTCTATCCTGTTTGTTGTTTCTGGATCTTTTTGCCATACACTATTTCATCGCTCAAAAACTTTCTGAATGGTTAACATATTCTCCCCGTTTTCTTACACCAGGCCTCTTACATGAGGACCTTCTTCCCTTTAGCCTGCAGGTTTTATCTGTTGTTTATGTATAAATGCTTTTCTCAGTAAAAAAAATATAAATCTTAAAGTTAAGAATGAGTGTGAGATAAACAGACCTCTGGTTAACCTGAGCCTTTATATCCTAGATGAAAATCAACCCTTTCTGAACTGCAAAATAATCTTCTATTTCTCTCCCCCTCATTCCACTCTACCTTCTAATGTAAAACTCATTCACATTAAGGCATCAGTGAATGATATTTCTCCTTAAAGTTATCTGATTTTAAAAGCTTTTTCAACAAATATCTGAAATGTTGAAGTTATAGTTTCTGGAAGATCTTAAAGCACAGATGTGCAGGAAAGTATTCAAGAGTTGAAAGATGATTAGCTTAAAGTTCCATGAAGTTAGATGACCAGTGAAAGAAATTTAATAAATAAGGAGCCAGTTTGGAAAAGAAGAGTCTTTCCAAGATTTGAAAATCACATGATATCAGAAACTATCTACTTTCCAGTTTACAAAGCCACCATTTAGCTGGGTAGGTTAGTAGCCACATTTCCTCTTATTTCTATTACCCTAGCCCAGACCATCTGAAATGCAATTGTGAAACACAGATGAGTGGAGTTACTAATTATGAAGAGAAACCAAACAGGGAAAATTCTTGATTGAGAGTCAGTGGGAGTGTTAGCAGTTCTCTCTTCTGATAGATGCCATGCTATTGGGAGATAAAGGCAGTTGACAGAAAACCTATAAATAAGGTTGCTATTAGATGTGGGCACAAGAGAAATAAAAGCACAGTATAGATTTAAAATATTGACTTACACAGAGGGAAAAGAGATGGCAAGCACCAAAACAAATCTACCGAAGTGTTCAACAGAAACAATTCTAATATTAAGAAATCTCATTAGCAATTTATCATAAGAGTATGTGGACACAAATGAGATTTAAACTAATATTTCCAGGTGGTACCTTAGCTCTGTATCTCCATGGACTTAGAAACATTGATCAAGTTAACATGACCTATTATAATTAAAACTCAGCCAAGAGAGTGTACTAAAGAAAATTTATGGGATTGGACTTCTGTAAGAGCTCCATAACCTGATGAATCATTACCCCCAATCTCGGCTGCTATAGCTCCACAGCTCTCATTATAATTCTAGTGAGAAAAGCACTTAATGAAACAGTTCTGAGGAGGAAGCATGTTTATCAAACTTTGCTAATTGTATTGTCCTTTGACCATCTAAGAGCTCTACTGATGAGACCTTAAGGGAAGGTCTACTGTCAAAGGCAGGATCCAGTTGATCTCTACTTAAAAAGAGTAATTTTTCTCCACTAAAAAAGTTGGCAATGATAAAAAGATTATTTTTTTCTTTCTATCCAGGAAAAACTTGAACCTCAAACTGTAAAATAGTAAAAAGGTATCCTTACCACTTTTTCCCTAATTTATGCTTTATTAGCCATACTCTACTGGTTGTGCCAACAGTCCTAATTTGAGATTAAAATAAAAGCTACATTAACTACTCAACTTGGTAAAGGTATACCATAGCACACATATAGTATGCTATTTCCATAAGCCTGCCCGAATTTGTGCCCACTTCTTTTCTATTTCTTCTCCCTTTTATTTGTAGAGTCTGAAAGAAGTGACTGGGACTGAAAATAGAACATTAAAAAATATGCTTTATTTTTAAAGTCAGGTATATTTAGGTATACTAAACATATCGTACAATTTACCTTTTAGATATATAGTTCTATGAGTTTTGACAGACGCACAGAGTTGTATAGCCACCACCATGATCAAGGTATGGAATATTAAAATGGGATAATTGTTTCTAAAAGTTTTTAGAAAAATGATGAGTTGGGAATGACTGAGATGGTTAAATAGAAGAAGTTGATTACAGTGAGAAAGACCATGAGAAAATAAGGCTGAAGTGTCAAATCAAGGAGGTGGGCTAAAAGAATGCAGTGTGAATGATAAAGGTTGGAAATTTGGACTCTGTGAAAAAGACCATATATACATACAGGAGACCTGAAGGCAGGTGGCAGAAGGGGAAGTACTTTGATCCTTCACATTATGTCCTTCTTCACACCCAGAGACTCCTTCCTGCCTTGTTTTTCCCAGTCACCTCTATCTTCCCCACTACATGAGTCCTTTATAGCCGGAACAACTGCATTATACCCCGTGAGCTTTACATTAATTGTTTAATCTCGTGAAGTTATGGGGCAATAATTTTTCAACTTTAGTGAGATTCATAATTGTCTGTGGAGCATTTAAAAATACTTGTGACTAGATAAACTCTCAAAGATCATGCTTCAGTTATTTTTTGGTGGAACTTCTTTTAAATGTAATTGGATGTTGGAAAACAGAGTAAAATATTTTAGTATCAGGAATACTTACAGACACAAAATATGCCATGAAGTGATTATACAGTGAGACCTCTTTCTGTTAGGATGCTAGGGTGCACCCTACACAAAAGCAAACCTCACTCTGGACCAGCTCTTACTCCTTGCCCCACACAGAGTTGAGGAAGGGTCAAATAACTGGCTGGAGAATTGTGAAAGCTACCAATTAGTTATTGTAGTCTTCAACATCTCTCTGTAACCATTTCTTCTATATAATATCCTTCTCTCCATTCCCTTCTCATTTTTTAAATATACGTCCTCAAGCAGGAAAGGATTGGTAGTCATTTATATTCAGACTGAAACGTATTCATTCTCCTCTACTAAATCTCTTAGCATTTTCTAGCTGCTTAATTCTGACTAAAATAATTTTTTAAAAACTTTTATTAAAGCACGGACCATAAAACAGCAACTTGCCATACGAATATGCATCATATTTGGTAAACAATATCTTTTTCACTGAACTTACTTGATCTTTTTCTATATTTATGTATTTTTATTGTTTAACATATTTTTTAACTGACAACACTGTATATATTTATTGTGTACAACATGATGTTTTGAAATATATATACATTGTGGAATGGCTAAATCAAGTAAATTAATGTATGCATTACCTTATGTAGTATTTTTGTAGTGAGAACACTTAAAATCTACTGTCATCATTTTTCAAAAATACAATACATTGTTATTAACTACAGTCACTATGTTG
Source organism: Homo sapiens (assembly GCF_000001405.40). NCBI lineage: Eukaryota > Metazoa > Chordata > Mammalia > Primates > Hominidae > Homo > Homo sapiens. The sequence continues at coordinate 97,850,459 of NC_000005.10, forward strand.
TACAATAGATCTCTTGAACTTACTCCTCTTTTCTAACTTAAGTTTTGTATCCTTTGATATTGGTACATAATAGTTTAAATGTAATTTGAATTAGGTGCCAATATTTAAAAATGAAGATATTTTATACAAACTATATAATTTTTTTTTTTCTGAGACAGAGTCTCACTCTGTTGCCCAGGCTAGAGTGCAGTGACGCGATCTCCGCTCACTGCAACCTCCACCTCCCGGGTTCAAGTGATTCTCCTGCCTCAGTCTCTGGAGTAGTTGGGATTATAGGAACATGCCACTGTGCCCAGCTAATTTTTGTATTTTTAGCAGATACAGGGTTTCACTATGTTGTCCAGGCTGGTCTCGAACTCCTGACCTCAAGTGATCTGCCTGCCTCGGCCTCCTAAAGTACTGGGATTACAGGCTTGAGCCACTGCGCCTGGCCAACAAACTATATAAATTTTTTCCTGGGTAAAATGTCTGTAATTTAAAATACTTTAATGTAATTAGTGTCATATTACATAGCTGTATGTTTTTTTTTTTCATTTTAATTCTAAAAGTGATCAGCCAAAGCTAGTAATTTGCAGGAAGGGCCATACACCTAAGACAGCTGTTTTAAGCCCTCTTTTTGCTTTCTTCTAATAATATATTTTTATTGGTGAAATGCTGGTCTTGCTCTTTCCTTTCTCCAACTCTGCTGCTCTTATTTGCATTTCCCATCTGGCCCTGTGGACATGGGCATCTATGAAAACTGCACTGAAGGAATTTCAGATCCTGTCAAGCAGGTATGGCAGCAGCTCTCAGATAAGGAGACTTCTTTCAGTGTTCAAAGTCATGTGAATGAAAAGCCCTGAAGATAAATTTGCATTATTCATTTTGGCTCTTAGAGGGAAAATATTAGACAGCCATTTAGAACCATTGAAATGTCCGAATTCTCTTCCTTTCTCTTTCCTATCTTTTAATCTTAATCTTTTCTGTCTTTCCTATCCTTCTGCCCTAATATCACACAGCTGGAGATCCAGAGGTCTTTTATGCCCTCTCCCCATAGTGCCAATGCCAGCTAATGAAAGCCAGCCATATGAGACAAAAAGCTGGTTCTTTGAAAAGATAAAAACAGAATTGACAGACCATTAGTGAGATTAACCAAGAAAAGAAGAGAGAAGATCTAAATAAGCTCAATTAGAAACTAAACTGGAGAAATTACAACCAATACCACAGAAACACAAAAGATCATTCAAGGCTACTATGAACACCTTTATGTGCACAAACTAGAAAATCTAGAGAAAATTGTTAAATTCCTGAAAATATACAAACGTCCCTAGATTAAATGAGGAAGAAATAGAAACCCAGAGCAGAGCAATAACAAGTAGTAATATTGAATCAGTAATTTAAAAAAATACCTAAAAAAGAAAAGCCTAGGACCAGAAGGATTCACAGCTGAATCATATCATCTGACATTCCAAGAATTGGTACCAATTCTGCTGAAACCATTTCAAAAGATAGAGAAAGAGAGAATCCTCCCTAAATCATTCTATGAAACCAGTATCAACCTAATACCAAAACCAGGAAAGGACATAACAAAAAAAGAAAACTACAGACCAATATTCCTGATGAAGATAGATGTGAAAATTCTCAAAACACCAGCTGGCTGAATCCAACAGTATACCAAAAAGAAAATACATCGTGATCAAGTGGGTTTCATACGAGGGATGCAGGAATGGTTTAACATAATGGTTTAACATCAATACCTGTGATACATCACAAAAATAGAATCAAAAACAAAAACCATATGATCATTTCAATTGACATAAAAAATATTATTTGATAAACCCCAGTGTCCCTTTATGATAAAACCCTAAACAAAATAGGCATAGAAGGGACTTACCTCAAAGTAGTAAAAGCCATGTATGACAAACCCACAGCCAACATCATACTGAATGGGGAAAAGTTGAAAGCCTTCTCCCTGAGAACTGGAACAAGACAGGGATGCCCACTTTCACCACGTCTATTTAACATAGTACTGAAAGTCCTAGATAGAGCAATCAGAAAAAAGAAAGAAAGAAAGGGCATCCAAACAGGAAAAGATATGTCAAACTGTCACTATTCACAGATGATATGGTTGTATAACCTGAAGACTCATCCGAAAAGATCCTAGATCTGATAAACAAGTTCAGTAAAATCTCAGCATACAGTCAATGTACACAAATCAGTAGCACTGCTATATGTGAACAACAAAACTGAAAATCAAATAAAGAACTCAATCCCTTTATGACAGCTGCAAAAATAAATCAATAAATAAAATACTGAAGAATATACTTAACCAAGGAGGTTAAAGATCTCTACAAGGAAAACTACAAAACACTGCTAAAAGAAATCATAGATGACACAAACAAATGGAAACATCGATGCTCATTGATAGAGAGAATCAATATTGTATAAAATGACCACACTGCCTAAAGCAACCTACAGATTCAATGCAATTCTCATCAAAATACCATCAGCATTCTTCATAGAACTAGAAAAAACATTCCTAAAATTCATATGGAACCAAAAAAGAGTCCGCATAGCAATACTAAGTAAAAAGAACAAATCTGGAGGCATCACATTACTCAACTTCAAACTGTACTACAAGGCTATAGTTACACAAACAGCATGTCACTAGTATAAAAATAGGCACATAGACCAATGGAACAGAATAGAAAGTCCAGAAATAAAGCCAAATGCTTACAGCCAACTGATCTTTGACAAAGCAAACAAAAATGTAAATTGGAGAAAGGACACCCTATTCAATAAATGGTGCCGGGAAAATTAGCAAGCCAGTAGAGGAAGGAAACTGTATTGTAATCTCTCACCCATACAAAAATCAAATAAAGATGGATCAAGGACTTAAATCTAAAGCCTGAAGCCATAAAAATTCCAGAAGATAACATTGGAAGAACTTTTCTAGACATTGGCTTGGCAAATAATTCATGACTAAGACCTCCAAAGCAAATGCAAAAACAACAAAAAAAGTGCATGGGACCTAATTAAACTAAAAAGCTTATTCATAGCAAAGGAAATAATCAGCATAGTAAACAGAAAACCCACAGAATGAGAGAAAATGTTTGCAAAGTATACATTTGACGAAGGACTAGTATCCAGAATCTACAAGGAACTTAAATCAGCAAGTAAAAAACAAATAATCTCATCAAAAAGCAGGCAAAGGACATGAATAGAAGAAATCTCAAAAGAAGATATACAAATGGCCAATAACCATATGAAAAAATTCTCAATATCACTAATCATCAGGGAAATACAAATTAAAACCATAATGATATAATGAGATAACACCTTACTCCTGGAAGAATTGCTATAATTTAAAAAGTCAAAAAACAATAGATGTTGGCATAGATTTAGTGAAAAGAGAACACTTTACAGTGCTGATGGGACTGTAAATTATTAGTACAACAACTATAGAAAACAGGATGGAGATTCCTTAAATAATTAAAAGAACTATCATTCGATCCAGCAATCCCACTATTAGGTATTTACCCAAAGGAAAAGAAGTCATATGAAAAAGACACATGAACACACATGTTTATAGCAGCACAATTTGCAATTGCAAAGATATGGAACCAACTTAAGTGCCCATCAACCAACAAATGGATAAAGAAAATGTGCTATATATTCACCATGGAATACTACTCAGCCATAAAAATGAATGCAATAATGTCTTTTGCAGCAACTTGGATGGAGCTGGAGGTCATTATTCTAAGTGAAGTAACTTAGAATTGAAAAACAAATATTGTATGTACTCACTTATAAGTAGGAACTAAGCTATGAGGAAATAAAGGCATAAGAATAATATACTGGACTTTGGGGACTTGAGGAGAAATGTTGGGGGGGTGGGGGATAAAAGACTACACATTGGGTACAGTGTACACTTCTTGGGTGACAGGTGGACTAAACCGTCAGAAATCACCATTCAAGTATTTATTGGGAGTGGCCAAGATGGCCAACTAGAAGCAGCTACGGTGCACGTCTCTCACAGAGAGGAATGAAAACGGTGAGTTAATACAGCTCCTTCAACTGAAACATCCATGTACTTGCATTGGGACTATTAAAGGAAACAACTCAACCCACAGAGAATGAAGAAAAGCAAGGCAAAAACGATAGCCCTCCTGGGAGGGACACAGAGCCAAGGGAACCTCCCCCACCCAGGGAAGTGGTGAGTGAATGTGCATCCCTGGGAAAGCAGGCTTCTTCCATGGATCTTTGCAACCCCTCAGGTCAGGAGATCCCCTCATGAACGCACTCCACCGAGGCATTCAGTCTAACATACAAAGCTCTGTGGAGTCTTGGCAGAGCAGCCACTCAGGCACGTACAGAGTTCCAGGAGCTTTACATACTCTGGCTCTGAGCTTCCCAGCAAAAGTAGCTGCAACTTTGGCAAGATGGGAGGTTGGACCTTTTTACATACCCCTAGGAAAGAGACTGACTCTTAGGGGCCAAGCAGCAATGGTCTGCGGGCCCCACTTCCATGGCATCTTACAAGATAAGACCCACTGGATTGGAATTCCAGCCAGCCACTGGCAACAGTATTGGGCCTCCTTTTGACAGAGTTCTCGGGGGAGGGATAAGCTGCCGTCTTTGCTATTTGGATGACTCAGCCATTCCAGTCTGTGAGCTTTGGAGAGTCCAGGCCAACTAGGGGCAGAAGGGACCCCCTAGCACAGCACAGCTGCTCTACCAAAATGTGGCCAGACTGCTTCTGTAAGCACGTTCCTGATTGGTTCCTCCTTACTAGGCAAAACCTCCCAACTGTGGCCTCCAGACACCCCCACTGGTGTTCTCTGGCTGATCAGAGATTTGAATTCTCTCCTGACAGAGTTCCCAGAGGGAGGAGTCTGCTTAGATGTTCCAGCTGTGGGCTTCAGAGACCCCAAGCCAACCAGGACAGAAGCGGTACTCCAACACAGCACAGCTGCTCTATGAAAGCATGAGTAGACTGTTTCTTTAAGTGGGTCCCCTATTTCATTCCTCCTTACGGAGTGGAAGTTTCCAACTGGGGCTTCCTGCCAATCCTGCCAGTTTTCTCTGGCCAACAGAGAATTGAAAACCTTTGGTGACAGAGCACGCAGAGGGATAGGTGGGCCACCATCCGTGCTGCTTGGGTGACTCAGCCATTCCAGCCTCCAGGCTTTGGGGAGCCCAAGCTGACTAGGAGCAGAAGCAGTACCCCAGCACAACACAGCTGCTGTATAAAAACATGGCCAGACTGATTCTTTAAGTGGGTCCCCCGGTCCTGTGCCTCCTGACTGAGTGAGACCTCCCAGCCAGGGTTTCCAGCCACCTTCTACAGGTGCATTCAGGCCAGTAACAGGTCTGTACCTCCCTGGGATGGAGCTCCCCGAGGAAAGGGCAGGCTGCCATTTTGGCTGTTTCATAGCCTTCACTGGCAATACCTTAATGTACTGGAATATCTGAGGTGACTAGGGACTGGAGCAGACCCACACAAAACACAGAAGCCCTATGGAAAAGTGGCCAGACTGTTAAAAGAAAAAAAAAAACCCACCCAAAGGCCAGCAACCTTAAAGTTTGAAGGTAGATAAGCCCACAAAGATGAGAAAGAATCAGCACAAGAATGCTGAAAACTCAAAGCCAGAGTGCCCTCTTTCCTTCAAATGACCACATCACCTCTCCTGCAAGGGTTCAGAACTGGGCTGAGATTGAGATGGTTGAAATGACAGAAGCAGAATTCATGTCACTGAGTCATTGAGCTAAAGGGGTACATTGAAACCCAATGCAAAGAAACTAAATATCACGATAAAACATTGAAGGAGCTGACAGACAAAATAGCCAGTACATAGAAGAATAAAGTCAAACTGATAGAGCTGAAAAACACACTATGAGAGTTTTATATTGCAATTACAAGTATTAATAGCAGAATAGATCAAGCAGAGTAAAGATTCTCAGAGCTTGAAGACTACCTTTCTGAAATAAGACAGGCATACAATAATAGAGAAAAAATATTGAAAATGAATGAACAAAACCTCTGAGAAATATGGGATTATGTAAAGAAACTGAATCTATGAATGATTGATGTACCTGAAAGAGATGGGAGAATGGAACAAATCTGGAAAACACATTTCAAGATATCATTTATGAGAACTTCCTCAGCCTAGCTAGAAAGGCCAACATTCAAATTCAGGAAATGCAGAGAATCCCAGTGGATATTTCACAAGAAGGTCATGCCCAAGACACATAATCATCAGATTCTCCAAGGTTGAAATGAAAGAAGAAATGTTAAAGGCAGCTAGAGAGAAAGGTCAGGTCACCCACAAAGAGAAACCCATCAGACTAACAGTGGACCTCTGAGCAGAAACCCTATAAGCCAGAAGAGATTGTGGACCAATATTCAACATTCTTAAAGAAAACAAATTCCAACCCCTAATTTCATATCTGACCAAGTTAAGCTTCATAAGCAAAGAAGAAGTAAGATCATTTGCAGAGAAGCAAATGCTGAGGGAATTTGTTACCACCAGACCTGCCTTACAAGAGCTCCAGAAGGAAGCACTAAATGTGAAAAGGAAGACCGTTACCAACCACTACAAAAACACACTGAAGCACACAGACCAGTGACACTATAAACCAATCACACAAACAAGTCTGCAAAATAACCAGCTCACATCATAATGATAGGATCATATCCACACATATCAATACTAGCCCTAAACGTAAATGGGCTAAATGTCCCAATTAAAAGACACAGAGTGACAAGCTGGATAAAGAACCAAGACACACTGGTATGTGTCTTCAAGAGACCCATCTCACATGCAGTGACACACATAGGCTCAAAATAAAGAAATGGAGGAAAATCTAATGAGCAGATGGAAAACAGAAAAAAACAAGGGTTGCATTCCTAGTTTCTGGAAATAAAACAAAACAGACTTTAAACCAACAAAGATAAAAAAAAAAAGACAAAGAAGGGAATTACATAATGGTAAAGTGTTCAACAAGAAGATCTCATTATCCTAAATATATATGTACCCAACACAGGAGCACTCATATTCATAAAGCAACTTCTTAGAGACTTGAAAGAGACTTAGACTCCCACACAATAATAGTGGGAGACTTTAATACCACACCGACAATATTAGACTGACCATTGAGATAGAAAATTAGCAAGGATATTTAGGACCTGAACTCAGCACTGGATCAAATGGACCTGATAGACATCTACAGAACTCTCCACCCCAAAACAACAGAATATACATTCTTCTTATAGCCACATGGAATTTACTCTAAAATCAACCATATAATCAGATGTAAAACACTTCTCAGCAAATGCGAAAGAATTGAAATAATAACAAACAGTCTCTCGGAACACAGAGCAATCAAATTAGAACTCAAGACTAAGAAATTCACTCAAAATGATACAATTACATGGAAATTGAAAAACCTGCTCCTGAATGCCTTTTGGGTATATAATGAAATTAAGGCAGAAATCAAGAAGTTCTTTGAAACTAATAAAAAGAAAGATATAATATACCAAAATTTCTGGGACACAGCTAAGGCAGTGATAAGAAGGAAATGTACAGCACTAAATGCCCAAATAAAAAATTAGAAAGATCTCAAGCTAACAACCTAACATCATAACTAAAAGAACTAGAGAACCAAAAGCAAACAAATTCAAAGCTAGCAGAAGACAAGAAATAACCAAAGTCAGAGCTGAACTGAAGGATATAGAGACACGAGAAACCATTCAAAAGATCAACGAATCCAGGAGCTGGTTTTTTGAAAAAAATTAATAAAATAGATGGAACAGAAGCTAGAGTAATAAAGAAGAAAAGAGAATATTCAAATATACACAATCAGAAATGATAAGGAGGATATTTCCTGTGACCCCACAGAAATACAAATAACCACCAGAGAATATTATGAGCAACTCTATGCCCATAAGCTAGAAAATCTAGAAGAAATAGATAAATTCCTAGACACATACACCCTCCCAAGACTAAACCAGGAAGAAACTGAATCCCTTAATAGACCAATACAAAGTTCTGAAATTGAGGCTATAATAAATAACCTACTGACCAAAAAAAAAAAAAAAAAAAAAAAAAGCCGAGGACCAGACAGATTCACAGCTGAATTCTACCAGATGTACAAAGAATAGCTGGTACTATTCCTACTGAAACTACTCTAAAAAAATTGAAAAGGAGGGACTCCTCTCTAACTCATTTTATGAGGCCAGCATCATCCTGATACCAAAACCCGGCAGAGATACAAACAAAAAAGAAAACTTTAGGCCAATGTCCTTGATGAACATCCATGCAAAAGTGCTTAACAAAATACTGACAAACCAAATTCATAAGCACATCAAAAAGCTAATGCACCATGATCAAGTAGGCTTCATCCCTGGGATGTAAGGTTGGTTCAACATACACAAATCAATAAATGTGATTCATATATAAAGAGACTAAAGACAAAAACCACATATTATGTCAATAGACACAGAGAAGGCTTTCAATAAAATTCAACATTACTTCATATTAAAAAAAAACTCTCAATAAACTAGGTATTGAAGGAACATACCTCAAAATAGTAAGAGCCACCTATGGCAAACCCACAGCCAACATCATACTGAATAGGCAAAAGCTGGAAGTATTTCCCCTGAAAACCAGTACAAGACAAGGATGCCCTCTCTCATCCCCTTTTTTCAACATAATACTGGAAGTCCTAGCCAGGGCAATCTGGCAAGATAAAGAAATAAAGGCCATTCACATAGAAAGAGAGAAAATCAAACTATACCTGTTTGCAGATGATATAATCCTATATCTAGAAAACCCCATCATCTCAGCCCAAAAGCTTCTTAAGTTGATAAACAACTTCGGCGAAGTCTCAGCATACAAAATCAATGTGCAAAAATCACTAACATTTCTATACACCAACAACAGTCTAGCCGAAAGCCAAGTCATGAACGAACTCCCATTTATAATTGCCACAGAAAGAATAAAATACCTAGGATTACAGCCAACTGGGGAGGTAAAAGATCTCTACAAAGAGAACTACAAACAACTACCTAAAAATTCAGAGATAACAGAAACTAACGGAAAGACATGTCATGCTGATGGATAGGAAGAATCAATATTGGTAAAATGACCGTACTGCCCAAAGCAATTTATAGCTTCAATGCTATTCCCATTACACTACCATTGACATTATTTACAGAACTGAAAAAAAATATTTTAAAATTCATGTGGAACCCAAATAAAGCCCAAATAACCAAGGTAATCCTAAGCAAAATGAATACAGCTGTAGGCATCACACTACCTGACTTCAAACTATACTACAGAGCTACAGTTACCAAAACAGCATGGTACTGGTACTAGAACAGACACACAGACCAGTGCAACAGAATAGAGAACCCAGAAACAAAACAACACACCTACAATTACCTGATCATTGACAAAGCTGACAAAAACAAGCAATGGGGAAAGGATTCCCTATTCAACAAATGTGGCTGTGAGAACTGGCTAATTATAGGCAGAAGATTGAAACTGGATCCCTTCCTACACCTTATAAAGAAATTAACTCAAGATGGATTAAAGACTTACATGTAAAACCAAAAACTATAAAAATCCTAGAAGACAACCTAGCCAATGCCATTCAAGACATAGGCAGGGGCCGAAGATTTCATGAAAAGACACCAAAAGCAATTGCAACAAAAACAAAAATTGACAAATAGAATCTAATTACACTAAAGAGCTTCTACAAAGCAAAAGAAACTGTCAATAAAGTAAACAGACAACCTACAGAATGGAAGAACATTTTTTGCAAACTATGCATCTGACAAACGTCTAATATCCAGCATGTATAAGGAACTTAAACAAATTTTCAAGAAAAAAAGCAAATACTCTAATTACAAAGTGAGCAAAGGACATAATAGACACTTTTCAAAAGAAGACATATATGCAGCCAACAATCATGAAAAAAAGCTCAACATCACTGATCATTAGAAAAACGCAAATCAAAACTACAATGAGATGCCATCTCACATCAGTCAGAATGGCTACTATTAAAAAGTCAAAAAACAACAGATGCTGGTGAGGTTGTGGAGAAAAAGGAATACTTACATACTGTTGGTGGGAGTGCAAATTAGTTGAACCATTGTGGAAGACAGTGTGGCGATTCCTCAAAGTCCTAAAGACAGAAATACCATTTGACCCAGCAATCCCATTGCTGCATATATACCCAAAGGAATATAATTTATTCTATTATAAAGAGACATGTAGGCTTATGTTCATTGCAGCACTATTCACAATAGCAAGGACATAGAATCAACTTAAATGTCCATCAACAGTAGACTGGATAAAGAAAATGTGGTACATATACACCATTGAATATTATTTAGCCATAAAAAAGAATGAGATCATGCCCTTTACAGGGCCATGGATGGAGCTGGAGGCCATTATCCTTAGCAAAGTAATGTGGAAACAGAAAACCAAATACTTCTTGCTGTCACTTATAAGTGGGAGCGAAATCATGAGAACACATGGACACATAGAAGAGAACAACACACACTGGGGCCTTTTGAAGGATAAAGAGTGGGAGGAGGGAGAGGATCAGGTATAACAATTAATGGGTACTAGGCTTTATATCTGGGTGATGAAGTAATCTGTACAACAAACTCCATGACACACGTTTACCTAAGTAACAAATTTGCACTTTTACCGCTGAACTTAAAATAAAAATTAACAAAAATGACACATCCATATAACCAAAAACCACGTGTACCCCAAAAAATATTGAAATAAAAATTAAAAAAGAGAAAACCAGTCATAGCTCAGTGATCTGTGATTTCATACATTTCAACAACCAGGGAAACAGAGCTCAGGATTAGTAGATGCTGCCAAAACTCTCTAATAAATTTATAAAGAGGTATATATTAAAGGAAATAATAGGAGCCTTCCTACACCCAAACTATACTGGTAAGAAATAAGATCAGGAAATCTGTGTGTATGTGTGTGTGTGTGTGTATTTGTGTGTGTGTGCACTCATTTGTGTGTGGTGTATAAATTGTAATGAAATTTAAAGAGTATGCCAATATATGGGGTCACAGAAAATTTGAAGTTTAAATAGTGAATGACACAAATGAGAACACTAGGTATTACTTTTACATACAAAGTAAATATTCATCTCAGCCTTTTGAGTAAGCTACCTCCTATATATGCTTAAATCCCATTAAGACCATGATTATGTATACCATTAAATATGAGCACAACTATAATTGTTATAGTATTGATATAAATATACCAATTTAAAAAAAATTTATATCAATACAGGAAACATCTCTCTTTATTGTCATTCTTGAAGTTTATTGTTTGTTTAATACAATAATGTACAAAGCTTCATGAGTATTTACTTAAAAATACATAAAATTTGTGTTAGCAGGAATTTTTTTGGGTTGTTCACAGTATTCCCAGTGCCTAGACTAGTTTAGGCATGTAGTATAATGGAATTTTAAAAAATTGAATAGATAACTATGTATGTATTGGTGTGAATATATTTGTATGTGATACAAAGAGAGAAGTGTCTGAGCATTCAGGTAGAGAAATATGCTAATCTCTGTGATTACATATTTGTTGTATTTCTTGAGTAAAAAAATTGAAATTATGGAATAAAAATATTCCAGTTCCTATATGCCTATTTCTTTATAAAGATTCAAATTGTTCAAGATTGGCAGAATAATAATATTAAATATAAAATGTTTATTGTTTTATTTGTCAATATAAATTTTAGATTATGAAATAAAAGTACCAAGTTCTTACAGAAGGCACTTTTTAACCAGTCTCTGCATGGTAGGAATTGGGTGTTCTGTGTTAGAGCTCAGAAAGTAACGCACTTTTTTATTTCCCCAGACAAAACAATCAGTTGCCCAATCTTGAAATCATTTTCATCTTCACACCAGTGGGGATTTGAATATGAGATAATAATTATCTTCTAGTGAGTACTTGAGCTCTTTCAGTGAGAGATGCTAATTGCTACAAAATGACATTTTTATCTAGCACTCTTGGAAATTTTTGTTGTACTGAATTCAAATCCCCACCACTTGATTGACATCTGTCAGAAATTTAGCCTTGAGGAATCTACAGTTAAAGTTTGCAGTATTTTTTATATCGATCACCTGTATAGAAACCTTGAAATATTTGGGGGAAAAAAACAGCATTGATTTTCATTACTCTGCCAATGTGCTTCTAGCTAAGGAGGAGGAGTGAAAAGAGAAAGACAAGAGAAAGGAAAAATCCAGAAGACTAGATTTAAGTCCCTCGAAGTAGAAATGAGAACCTGGTTTCTTGTTTCTGTCTTTTATGCCACTTACACGTCTATACTAACATGAGTGCCCCTCCTCCATCTTTGTCCTGGCTCTGGGGAAATTAAGTTTGCTCTGTCCTCTTAAGGCACAGGGAGGCTCCCCTTCCATAGTCTTGCTACCTTCCTCAGTGTCTAGGGCCCCACCCTCCATTTAAGAGGATTATGAGTATCCTGGGCCATTGAAAAGTAGTCCAGAATAATTTGGATGGGGCCGAGATAAGCTTTGGGCAGACACAGGAGACACTCCTGATGGAGAGGCGGCAAAGTGAGAAGTTCTCACCACAGGCCACCTGAAACAAGCCTGAAATGGCTCTTTGCCTCTATCAGTGCATAGTCAGTGGTAACTGATGCTGTGGATTCTATTTCAGATCCTGGGACTCTGGCAAAGGCACTGGATAGAGTAGACCAGATTGGAGGCGGCACCTTGTTTATTTATTTTTTTCTTACCAACCTCTGGCTTCCATCACCTGCACCTTTTTTCTCTTTCTTTTAAGCTGTGAAATGCTCATCTTTTTAGAGAATAGAAGACCTAGACCTCTTCTATGCTTCCCAAGTTATGTTTATAGCATTCACTTTGTGCTACTATTTTCTTTCTAATATTAAGTGTTGTTATATGTGGAAAAAAGAGGACGGGGATACCTCTGCGCTAAACAGGATAGGAAATAGGCTACTTTAAAGAAATTTTGCAATCTCAATTAGAAACATTGAAATGCCATTTGAATACAAAATAATATACACATATTTTGGTAAAGCCTATCTTTTAAAATATATTATTTAAACAAAAAATAAGATGGTATAATTATGTAGTCCAATATTGTACAGACTTTTAGTTTATAATAAAATTGACATTAAAGATTATCATTACTAATTAATTAAAAATTCCGTAATTTTTTACTTGTTATTAGGTATTATTTATCTTATATAAAAGAATAGTTATTTTAGATCGCTATTATATGATTAATTGCATTAAACAAATGTATATGTTCAATTTACCTTAAAAAATGAACTGTGTGAAATATTCCAACATCATTCTTGAAAATTAAGAATGGAAACTACAAAACTATTTAGTAAATACAAAGACCAAACACATCTTTGAATTAAGGAATGTCTAGATAAAAAAGAATGTCAGATGAATAAAAAGGGAGGAAGGAAAATAGGAAATGGGTGGATAAAAAAGCATGTAAAATGGATGGAAGATTCTGAGATCAGTTGGAAGCAGAGAAACAGAAACACACATACTTAACCATTATATAGAAGGAAGGATATGGAAGACAGTGAATGATCCACACATAGACAGTGGGTTTAGCTCAGTGCCTGATGTACATTAGAAACTCAGCACATGCTTATTGAATGAGAGAATGAAAGAAATACAGACAGAGAAAAATAACGTCATAAAATAAAAGGATCAATACTGTGACCTTTTATAATATTGTAACTGAAGACTTAAATCCTGATGTGATTTTGCAGATACTCTGTAGGCATAAATGCCTTTCAGTGTTTGAAATACAGTCTGGTTTATATAAAAGATTGGGCTTGTTTAATTCTAGTCGTGTTGACAATTTCTGCTGTTAGAACAATATGTGTGTAATTTAAGACAGAAGATAATTCAGAACTTTTTAAAGAGTATAGCACAAAACAGTGTCTATAGTTAGACACGCTCAGGAATCCCATTATGTCAATGCATTGTTCTCTACTAATCATGATTTTATTATTTTCACAGGAATACATTAAAATTACTATTATTTCTCCCTGGAATATAAAATTATTGGTAAGGCCAACCTTGTCCAAAAAGTTATCATAAGAGTAAATGCCCAAACAGTGAGATGTGGTAATATAAATAATGTTATGCCAACTTAGTTGAATTGTAAAGACTATGTAATCAATTACAAACACTCTTACAAAGAATGATGTTACAACTATGTATGAGAATGAATACAAATGCACAGGATTGGGAGAAAAATTAGAAAAATTAAGTATGTGGGGCCAGGCGCGGTGGCTCACGGCTGTAATCCCAGCACTTTGGGAGGCCGAGGCGGGCGGATCATGAGGTCAGAAGATCGAGACCATCCTGGCTAACACGGTGAAACCCCGTCTCTACTAAAAATACAAAAACAAAATTAGGCGGGCGTGGTGGCGGGCGCCTGTAGTCCCAGCTCCTCGCGAGGCTGAGGTAGGAGAATGGGGTGAACACGGGAGGCGGAGCTTGCAGCAGTGAGCCGAGATCGTGCCACTGCACTCCAGCCTGGGTGACAGAGCGAGACTCCGTCTCAAAAAAAAAAAAAAAAGAAAAGAAAAATTAAGTATGTAATTTATTTAAATGTAATATTTGAATTTTCATATTTTTATTTTGGACTGACATGTTTGTTATATAAAAAGTAAAAGATTTTCCAAGATCATTCACAAAATTTATTTTCCATGCATAAATTTCCCAGAGTTGACATTTGCTATATGGTGCATTCCTTTGAAAAACCCTGAAGTAAAATTATATATAAAATTAAATCTTTTTGGGCTGGCGCGGTGGCTCACGCCTGTAATCCCAGCACTTTGGGAGGCCGAGACAGGCAGATCATAAGGTCAGGAGATCGAGACCATCCTGGTTAACACGGTGAAACCCCGTCTCTACTGAAAATACAAAAAAAGTAGCCAGGCGTGGTGGTGGGCACCTGTAGTCCCAGCTACTAGAGAGGATGAGGCAGGAGAATGGCGTGAACCCGGGAGGCGGAGCTTGCAGTGAACCAAGATGGCGCCACAGCACTCCAGCCTGGGCGACAGAGCGAGACTCAGTCTCAAAAAAATAAAAATAAAATAAAATAAAATAAATAAAATAAAATAAAATATTTCAACCATGAAACACACTTTTTCATTAGATAAGTAAATATTTATTCTATTATTTAGTATTGATGACATCTAACATTTACCTGCAAGTGCATTTTCCAAGGTCTATTTTCTCTGCTGAATTTATGGAGAGCCAAGGTCAGGAGTTTTCACACCCTATTCTTCCTTGGGTCATATTTTTGTTGTTTAAGGTTGTTATGTGATGGAGGAGATGGATGATAGGTGCTTCAGAGGTGAAAAGGAAAATTAATTTAAAACATCTCATCAATATCTCTTACATAAATTGTAAAGCTGTGTATTTTGTACTTCAATTATTGGTAACTAGCTAATCTAACCTTTCTGATTAGTTAAGGGCAGTGAGCTGGAGGCATTTTTTTTTTTAAATCAATGTTTTTTTTTTTCTCCTGAAATACGATTGAATTAAATAGTGCTTACAATTATCCAGGTATGGAATTAACGTTACTTAAACATAAAACAGAATATCTTTATACAATCACCAAAAGGGTGATAGTGATGGTGTCAGTGATATTAACAGACAGAATAGACGCTAGGTCCAAATAGAGCCTTGGAAATATATTTTAAAATTATTAACTTCTCCAAAATGAAGTCCTTGACTTCAGTAAGTGTTAACAACTTCACCTTCGTTTATCAGTGCCATCACCTTTCGTCTCTAGTTTTCTGCCTTTTAGATACCTACTAGTGTCTAAATTTTTTTATTTTATGTAATTTATTATTTTTGTTTATCTTTTAGATATCTTTTAGATATCTTTTATCTATCTTTTAATAGTTCCAGAGATCACTGGATTCAACGAGAAATTGATTGCATCAGAGTCCCCTCACAAACATATCTTTAAGATGAAGGAGAGGTGGGGAAAGTGCATTTGATTTTGTCCTATTGTTTAATTTTATTTATCCCTCTGATGAATTTTCATTCAATTTGAAAAATATACTTAAAGAAAAATGTTATCTGATCTTAAATGTAAAACAAGTTAGGGTGAGCCTGGTAAAATGGAAAGCTGTAGAAGACACAGAAAACCAAAAGGAAAATAAAAGTTAACATAAATTGAACTAAGACAATTATTAACAAATAAAAATGTTTGATAATAGTTTTTCTGTTATTTTATACATAGTAGTCATGATGCAAAGATTATTTGGGTATAGTTAAGTAGTATCCAGCTCAGACCACTCAATTTAATCTTGCTGATTATCAATCTGTATACTTTATAGACTGAGAATCTAGGTTACCCTTCATTTTCATCCATATTGTCTTAGGTGTTACATGAACAAATATGGATATATTAGAGGAAAAAAATAAGTCGAGTCATATTAAATTCCTGAAGAATGTTAGTAATTCTACTCCAATGTCCACATATTTGAGTTGAAGTTTCACTTCCTTAATTAAAATATGAAAACATCATGAATTTTGGTAGAATTATCTTAGAATTCATATCCAAATCCTCCCTATCAAATATACAGTTATTTGGCTATGTGCTCCAGGTTAACAGACTTCAGTTGTCTGTCCACGATTATTCTTTGCCTTTTTCTGTTTTTTTTTTCTTTCTTTGTATTCTTATAATTAGTGGTCCTATTCAACAAAAATAAATGATTTTTCTTTTTTTTCTTTTTTTTTTTTGAGACAGAGTCTTGCATTTGTTGCCCAGGCTGGAGTGCAATGGTGCGATCTTGGCTCACTGCAAACTGCCTCTTTCTGGGCTCAAGCAATTCTCCTGTCTTTCAGGAGATTTTTAAAAATGATCTGGAAAAGTTACTTTTAACCATACAGCGTTTAGAATTTTACATATCTCTCTTCCGTCTTTAAAATTGAGGTGTTTTTTTTTCTTTTTACTTGTCTGCCTTCTACTTGGCTACAGATATTTGAAAAGATAAGAAACTTTACTTGGGGGATGACACTTCTAATTGGGCAGCAATAGAAGTAGGCACTCTGGATGATATTGAATCTAGCAAGTATTAAACAAAATATGACGTTTTTCTTTGGAGAGTACAGCCTGACCTGTAATTTGTAATTGCAAGTCAGTTATTTAACAAGTAATAGTTAGAAGTTTTTGTTAACCTTGCGTCAGAAACATACCAGTGAAAGCATTTTTTAAAAATATAAACCAAGTCTTTAAAAGAGTGCCCATTTCCTGAATGTTTTCTTTGAAAACTTAATGTTATGAGCTACTTCCATTAATCTTTTGTTTCTGGAAAATAATATGCATTTTATAAGGTATATATAAATGCTGCTCAGCATTTTTAGAACATTGTCATAGTAGGTTTGACATGGTTTTTTATTTCTTACTTGTGGAGATTTAAAATATCTATGCCTAAACTCAATCCTTAGAAAATCTTATTTAATAGCTCTGGGTTAGAGCCCAAAGAACTTGTATTGTTAAAAAGCTCCACAAGTAACTGTACCGTTGGGTTTGTGAAACACTGATATACATAATGCCAGTAGCCCAAACATTTGGGGATCAGTTATTACTTTTATTTATTAAATAGATCATCATGTATTGCATGTGCATAGCTTTATATAACTTTTACACATATACATGTATGTGTAATTAAAATTGTACATTATATAACTTTAGGTGTATTTATCTTGCTGATTATTTTCTGACCACAGTGGGGGATAATTCTAATGGCCACAGCAAATTATCACAAAATTGGTGACTTAACAAGAAATGTATTCTTTCACAGTTCTGTGAGAGAGGTGTCTTGGGTGTTATATGAGTAAATGTTTTGGAGGCCAGAAGTCCAAATTCAAGATGTCGTCAGGGCCACACTTTCTTCAAAGACTCTAAAAGGGAATCTTTCTTTGCGTCTGGTGGTGTTCCTTGGTTTGTGGCTGATAACTCCAATTTCTGCCTCAGTCTTTATATGGTATTTTCCATATAAAGTCACTGTGTGACTCAGTGTCTCAAACTTCCTATTCCTTTCTGTTATAAAGACACCAGTCATTGGAATCAGGGCCTATCCTCAATTCAAAATAATTTTATCTTGAGATACTTTATTTTTCACCAGTCATTTGAGCAATCCAAGGCTTTTTCAATGATTAAGCAAAATCAATGACCCATTTGCATAAAAATATCTGACTTATAGATCACTTATTTACATTTCATCCAGTTTCTACTGCACAACCTAGATAATTAGCAGTATTTTTAAAATCCCTGTTTCTGCATAGGACCATGCAGAATGTGACACATAAAATTTGCCAGTGTATAGTTGCAGGATTGATATCAATTCATCAGATAATCTTTTTTCAAATTGCAGATACTGGGGAAACCAGATATTTATGAAAGAAGTAAACAATGGTCCTGTAAAAATATAGGTAAAAAATAGACAAACCACCAAGTCAATTTCATTTGTGAAGCTGTTATCTTATACATCATTAGTAGAGATGCTTGTCATTTCCTCCCTGCTACACCATTTTAGAGATGATACCTCATTATTGATGTGGATAATTCACTACCAGAGAGAAGCTGAGCATTTCTGGCTCAATCAGATTATATATCTGCTTCAGTTTGAGCTGCTGTAATGGAATAGCATAGACTGAGTGGCTTAAACAACAAGCATTCATTTCTTATGGTTTTGGAGGCTAAAAGCCCAAGATAAGGTTGCCAGTATAGTTGGTTCCTTGGTGAAAGCCCTCCTTCTGGTTCTTGCTGTATCCTTACATGGAAAGAAATAGCTCTAGTCCCTTAATCTCCTTATAAGGGCACTAATCTCAGTATGGGGTGCCACCCTCATGATGTCATCTAAGTCTAATTAACTCCCAAAGTCCCCGCCTCCTAATACCATCACACTGGGCATTAGGGCTTCAGTATATGGATTTCTAGGGGGACACAAAAGTCCATGGCAGCCTCCAAGAAATTTGAAAGTAACCTCAAGGTACTGAATCAGTTCAGTGGGGTTACGTACTGAGACTGAGAGATCATAGTGAGGTCAGGCCAGATTAGATGACCTGGTAACACAGAGTCACTTGAAAAGTAATGGGGGAGCAAAAAATAAGTGCTTTATTCAATCCACTGTTGATGGGCACCTAGGTTGATTCTATATCTTTTCTATTGTGAATAAACATCATAGAATATTATGCAGCCATGAAAAAGAACAAAATCGTGTCCTTTGCAGCAACATGGATGCAGCTGGAGGCCATTATTCTAGTGAATTAACACAGGAACAGAAAACCAAATACCACTTGTTCTCACTTATAAGTGGGAGCTTAACACTGGATATTCATGGACATAAAGATGGTAAAAATAGAAACGGAGGACCACTGGAAGGGAAAGTAAGAGAGGGAAGCAAGAGTTGGTAAGCTAACTATTGGGTACTATGCTCAGTATCTGGGTTATGGGATCATTTGTACCCCAAACTTCAGCATTATGCAATATGCCCAGGTAACAAACATGCCCATGTACCCACTGAACCTAAAATAAAAGTTGAAAAAAAAATGAATCTTTTGCTGAGGAAGCTGGGTTCACAGAGGCAAATGGAATCTGCAAACGCAAACATATGCATAGTCATGAACACATGAGCAGACATGAGATTCCATGAGATGTGAGAGAGAGTAGCTGCCTAACAGTGCATCAGTTCCAGTGAGATCTCACATGGCCTACTGCAATTGAGACTTTTGAGATGTTCTTAGATCCTTACCCCAAATCTGCTTTAAGCTAGTTTCTGTTCAGCAACCAAACTATTCTCAAGACCAACTTTGATACCCAAAGTGCAAACTCTCAGGAGTTCCAAATAGATGAAAATAATCACTTAAAATTTTTTTAAAAATAATATCAATAAAAATGGGTTTCATACCTTGACATTACCATGGTTACTTGAAGTTAATGGTGAATATCGTTACCAGTGGTAAGTCCTGCTGGCTGCATTAAAAGATACAAGTCCTATACAAAGCGTACAAGTGGAAGCAAATAGATGCTTATTTATAAAGTGATTGAAAGAGGCTTGCTCACGAGGAAGGTGAACACTTCTGCACACAGTTTCCCAGTGTGGTTTCTTTTCAAAACATTATTCACAAATAGTAAAATGTTAATTTTTGTTCTGTTTATATGAAATAATCACAGCTCCTTTCTTCTAATAATAATATAAATATAATAGTAAGTGCCATTTATTATTGGAAGCTGACTGAGTGCCAGGTCCTGAAAGTGTACTATGTCATGAACACTCTAAAGTATTCTCTGATCAGTATTACTACTGTTCACTCTTAGCAGATGAAGAAACAGATTAAGAGATTTAAATACTAACCTAAGGGAGGGTATGACTAAATCTTATGTTTGATTGTTAAAAACAATTCATAGTGTGTTTTTGTAAATAAAATTGCTGCTATTAGTTTAAATGTTATGCCATCTCATAGACTAAAAGCTTCTCTAATAAACATGTGGAAATAGCTCTGTGAGTTCTTGGCCTAAACTTACCATATAACCCTGAGCACACCTAATAATTTTTGTGGGTCACCATTCTTTGGGTGTAAAATAAGAATAATTTTACTAACCTTGCTTAGGTTTTGTGAAGATTAATGAGTTAATCACATCTAGAACACAGTCTGTAATTCTTTGATGACAAGGACATGAAAAATGTTCAGTACAATATTAAGACCAAGAAAGAAGGCTGTGTTTATCATGCACAGAGTCCAGTGAATGGGCTGCCATAGGGGTTAGGATTAAGTTCTTTATTTTTTAATATTACAGATGGGAATAAACTGCACATAATGACCAGAGCCTGCAGAATGGTTAAGTGGCTGGAAGGGGATATATTTATCATTCTGAGTAACAAACCACACTGCAGAGTGCTCAGATCCTAACCTGGCCTGTGTCACTTACTAGCAAACTAACACTAGACAAGTTGCTTTACCTTTCTGAACCTTGGATTCTATAGCTGTAAAATAATAAGAAGAACATCTATTTCACATGACACTTACTTCATATCCATTCATTATATACCATATATCAGTTACTGTTGGGTGCTTGAGACACAGAGAGGGACAGAAAAAGTCATTTCCCTAATGAAACTTGCATTCTAAAGAAGAAAACAGACAATACATAATGCAAAAATAAGCAAACAATATATTTTCAGGAAATTTTAAAGACTACAAGAGAAATAAGGCAAGATAAGGGGATGGAAGAATGATGTGGGGTAGGACATAGAACTTACATATGATCATAGTGGCCTGAATGATACAAAGAGGAGCCATATGTGGACCTGGTGATGGACCATTTCGGACAGAGGAGACATGGGAAAGGCTCTGAGGCAGGCAGGAACTTGGCATGTTTGTGGAAAAGCAAAATGGCTAGTGTAGTCAGAGCAGCATGTGAGAGGGAAATTCTGGAAGCTGAACGTATAGCGGTGGCTAAGAGCCCTATTGCATAGGGCCTTCTGCTCCTCATAAAGTCTTACTGTTTTATTATAGGTGTTGTTAGAAGCCCTTCATAGGTTTTAACACAAGAATGAAGGTTTATCAAGATCTGTCTGGTTGCTGGGTTGAGAACAGACACAGGAGAACAAGAATGAAAACAGAGAAACCTGTACTGAATTGCTGTAGTGATTCAAATGAGGTATGATAGTGAATTGGACTGGGAAGCAGTTAGAGGAGGTAAAAGGTAACTTTAAGACATGGAGGGTACTTTGAAGGTTGAGTAGACAGTTTGTTCTGAGGGATTGTAAAGAGTGGAGTGAAAGAGAAAGAGAAATCCAGTACAGTGCTTAGGGTTTTTGTCTTGGGCCTACGAGGAAACTATAGCTTAAAATAAATACATGTAAAAGTTTACCAATGTCAAAACAAATAAGAAGCCATGCCAAATTCTCAATATAAGGCAAGCATGACAAAAGAAGACCCATGCTGGTAAAAATGCAAGTACTGGAGTGCTTGGGGGATCATACAAAGCAACTTGAATTCTTCCAAACACATAGGTACACCATAGCAATCATTTGTAAGAATCGATTAAAGGATGGAGATGCTAATTATGTAACATGAAAAACACTTCAGCCATATAAAACTTTCTTATAGTTTGTACCCTGAATTGTTAAATTGAAGTTGAGACTTCAAAACAAATAAAAGAACATATTTGTAAAGATTAGATAGGGAGAAAATTGAAAAACAAAGAAAGAAAGTTTGAACTCTCAACTAATAACCTGGTTTATAAAATATCATTTATTCTATAGCTGGTAGATGTCATATCGACATCTGCTAACTGGCAGAATGCATTCAGATGTCTGTAGTTTTTAACGTCTAGTGCAAAAGACCATACATGATTTTATATATGTACATATATGTACATCAATATATGTAGATTATATATGCATATATTTATATATGTATATTATATATGTATATATTTATATATTTATTCATATTATTTATTCATATTATATAATTATATATTTATTTATATTTATTTATTCATATTATATATTTATTTTATATATTTATTATATATTAATTCATATATATGCATATATTTATGCATATATAATATATGAATATGTATATATAATATATATGAATGAAAAGGACAGCATAAGTCATGGATATATAAAATATATATTATATATATACACGTATAATCTTATATCTGTAGTTTTTGATACCTAGTTCAAAGGACCATGCATGATTTTATATATATATATGAATGAATGAGTGTATGTATATATAACATATAACATATGTTATATGTTATATATAACATATACATATGTATATGTAATATATAACATATAACATATGTATATGTATATATAACATATAACATATGTATATGTATATATAACATATAAATATGTATATGTATATATAACATATAACATATGTATATGTATATATAACATATAAATATGTATATGTATATATAACATATAAATATGTATATGTATATATAACATATGACATATGTATATGTATATATAACATATGACATATGTA
This sequence comes from Homo sapiens, assembly GCF_000001405.40. NCBI lineage: Eukaryota > Metazoa > Chordata > Mammalia > Primates > Hominidae > Homo > Homo sapiens. Next base: position 97,873,560 of record NC_000005.10, read on the forward strand.
TATGTATATATAACATATGACATATGTATATGTATATATAACATATGACATATGTATATGTATATATAACATATGACATATGTATATGTATATATAACATATGACATATGTATATGTATATATAACATATGACATATGTATATGTATATATAACATATGACATATGTATATGTATATATAACATATGACATATGTATATGTATATATAACATATGACATATGTATATGTATATATAACATATGACATATGTATATGTATATATAACATATGACATATGTATATGTGTATATATAACATATGACATATGTATATGTGTATATATAACATATGACATATGTATATGTGTATATATAACATAACATATGTATATGTATATATATAACATATTGAGTGTGTGTGTATGTGTATATATATGTATATATATACATATATACATGTATATACATATATACATGTATATACATATATGTGTATATATACATGTATATACGTATACATGTATATATATACATATATACGTATATACATATATATACATGTATACGTATGTATATGTATATGTATACATGTATACATATATATACGTATATATGTATATATATACATGTATATACATATATATGTATGAATGAGAAGGCCAGCAAATCGCAACTGAGCAGTAGAGTTGGATTTAATCACAGGCATACAAAAGAATTAATATAGTGAGCAAGTGCATATTTGCAATGCAATCAGAAAACAAATTCCCACACTGAAAATAAACAAACAGAGAGAGACAAGAAAGACAGATGCATACACACACACACACACACACACACAGAGAGAAGAAAAAAGAAGGGAAGAAGGGAGAGTGAGAAGGAGAAAGGAAGGAAGGAAGAAAGGGAGAGAGGGAGGAAAACACAACTTTGGTTTATAAACACAAAAATGATTTTTAATGGATAAGAATGCTAGTCTCTCTCTTTACATAAAAACATCTGAAACATACTCCTTTGCTTTTGAGATAGCATGATAATCAGGAAGATACAGTTCAGCAGGAAAAAGATTAAGAGAAACTAAGAGTAGTACATAAAGTGAAGAAGGAACATATCCACGGAGAATTGGCTTCTGTCTCAAAAATTTTCCCAAGTTGTACAGATGAGTCAGAACTATAAATTTAATAGTTCAGTAAATTCCAGAACAATGTGAAAATTATACACAGACATGAAAGTAGATGGTGAACAGCAATCCTGCAACACATGCAAGCAGATGAACAGATAGAAGATCTAGCTAGAGTGTGGGAATAAATTTGCATGAAGTATGAACGTTGAAGAGTTTTTCTTCAATATGATTATTGTGTGTGCCTCGACAAATGATTTACTAGTCTCTCATGATTTGATGTGCCATTATGGATAAAGATATTTACAGATAATTTACATCTCTTATGGAAATAATTTCCCTTCTAGTACTTGTGAGTGGGAGCAATATTTGTAAATAACAACAATTAAATATTGAAAGCTATCATTTCTTTTTCCTGAAAATTTAGGACTAAAATTCTATAAATGTCCTCTTATGATAGAAAAATTAGAGTTCTTCATATTATAAATTAAATATTGAGGTTACATGGTAGATAACAATCATAAATTCTGGCTCCCATCTTGGCTTTTTACTTCTGCTTTAAGAATACAGAATTAGTGAACATTCTCGAGTGAGTGACATGGAAGTGATACTTTATCATAAAAATGCTTTATTTATTGTATACACTATTAGAAACTTTGTTATTTATTTTTATTAAAATGTTCTTTCTTTGGTTATTTCCAAGAGCCAACATATCTATTACATTTTTACATTTGGGTTAAGGACCCCTATAGTCGGCTGAGGGTCCATTCTTCCAATGTAAGTGATTCTTATAAATGGAAATGGAAGTTTAGTGTGTGCAAAAGATGTGAAAAATAATATTGCTTCTATGTGCTATACCTACATTTTAACTTTTACTCAACTGAGTGTGTATTTCTGATTCTTCCATTGAGGACATTTTATAACAATCAAAGAATATGAGCAAGCTATAATTGTATATATTCTTTCTTAGAGATAGTCCTGGTTCAGTGTAAGCTGGAAGCTGGTGTTCATTTATATAGATAGTTTATATGGAGGGCATGGGATAGATATGTGAGAAGAATGTTTTCTGAAGATATTGTTTGAGGCAAAATAAAAGGTGGGAGTGGAAGACAGACAGAAATAGAAGGAACAGCATGTACTCCAAGCCTGGATTCTGGGACTTGTTTGACTGTACCAGGAAGAGAGGCATTTTCACCATTTCCATAAGAGCCAGTGTGACTCAGGTTCAGCAAAGAATTGAGGGAACGTAGCAAAGTTTTGTGACTCCTAACCTTCATGCTTTGCTTTGGGTAAAAATGGGCAAAGTATGCCCTGGGAAAGGTAGTGTTATTCTTGGGGAATCCATGGTAAGCAAGGAGACCATGACAAGGTACAAGGGAAGAAAGACCTTGGCAGGAAAGAAGGAGCAGCACTGGGAGGAAACAGAATCCAGGCATTATTGTCGCATAAACTAGTTATTCAGCACCTCCCATGTGCCCAGTGATAAACTAGGGACAAGAGATAAAGCAATGAATACAACATATTAAATGTATGCTCTGAAAGGGTTTATCTCTCCATAAAGGGAGAAGGAATACAGATAAATAAAATGTGTACATACAATATAACATAAAAGTATAAAGAGAGGACTGTGTATTCTTTGATAACATAGAAGGAGCAAGTAGTGTTGGCAAGGATGTGGAGAAAAGGGAACCCTTATACACTGTGAGACTATTAATTGGTACAGCCATTAGGGAAAGTAGTATTAAGGTTCTTCAAAAAATTAAAAAAAGAGCCACTACATGATCCAGCAATCCCACTCCTGGGTACGTATCCAAAGCAAATAACATCACTATCTCAAGATATGTGCACTTCCACATTCACTGCAGCATTATTCACAGTAGCCAAGATATGGAACCCATCTAAGTGTCTGTCAACAGATGAATGAATAAAAATGGAAAACTATTAAATCTTTAAAAAGAAGGAATTCCTATCATTTGCATTAACATGGATGAACCTAGAAGGCATTATGCTACGTTAAATAAGCAGGCACAGAAAGCAAATACTGTATGATCTCACACATATGTCGAATCTAAAGAATCAAAGTTGAGAACAGAGAAGGAGTCAGGTGCTGGATCACAAAGCTGGACAAAGCTTAATAAGGAGGTTGCCTTTATCCACAGGAGAATTAGAAGCCGTTGAATGGTTTTAATGAAAAGAGATGAATTGGTTAGATTTGTATTTTAGAAAGACAACTCTGAATGCAGTTTTGAGAATGTTTTGTGGGGAGGTTAAAAGCAAGAAATCAGGATACAGGATGCTTTAATAAGAGTATAGGAGCAAAATGATGATTCATAAATACTCATGTAACACAAGGAGTCTCACTGAGACTGGATAACCCAGCACCACAGCCACAAGATGCTGGGAGCCACTTCTGCCACTGTCAGTGCTGGAATGACTTCTATTCCATCTCCTGCTTCTGTGGGTCACTCATTCCAGACTCAGAGGCCCTTGGTTTCTGCCCATTTTTGAAGCTTGTTTCTTCAGCCTTCTTATTGACAATGATATTGGAGATTGAGATGAAGAGGAATGAGTAGATTTGAGATAATAGCAAGTGGAGTGAGCATGACTTGGTAATTAGATGGTAGGGAGGAAGAAGAGAAAAAAAAATAAAAGAAAAAGAGGCAGGTTTGGTGTGGCAACTCTGGTTTTGGGCCATGTCAGTGAGTTAAGCATGGAAGGTTTGAGGAAATGCATAGTTGGTTTGGGACACTATAGTCAACCTTCATCATTTCTTTTATCTATCATCTGAATACAAATTAGAGGGGAATCTCTAGATGGAAAGAAAACATAGGAGCAAAGGGGAGCAGATATTCTTTCTCTCAGTTGCTCGTCAGCTAGAGCCTAGGTGAATGACTTGAACTCAGCCGATTGGATGCTGCCCCTGAATCTGGAATTACAGATTATTTGACAGTGTCGAATCCTGGAAGATGTCAAGATATATTAGGATTGAAATGTGGCACTTGCTTTTAAAACAGTGTCTCAACCTCAGCACATTTTGGACTCGGTAATTCTTTATTTTGAGGAACTGTTCTGTCCATTGTGGGATGTTTAGCAGCTTCCTTGGCCTCTACCCACTAGATGCCAGTAGTATGCCTCGGTTGTGACAAAATGTCTTCAGCCATTGCCAAATGTCTCAGGGGAAAAAAAAAATCCCTGATTATTTGTTTGGCAAGAGTAGTTCCAGTGGCACAATTGAGATGGAAGCCAGACAGCAGTAAGCTTAGGAGTGAGGTAGAGAAGAGGGCAACCCTATGGTTACTGCAGATTACTCTTTAAAACTGTTAGATGAAAAGTACAGCTGAGCTATAGAATGGTAGCTTGAAGGGAGAAGAAACATAAGCATGCTTAAATGTGAATGAGGAAGCCAACACACGAGGAGAAGGATGCAGAAGAGGGGATAATTCATACTTCAATGGCCCTAAAAAGATGAGAGGTGCTGCACACTAATAAATGCTACTCAAGTCAGGTCCAAGAACTGGTCTTGATTCATCAACTGTTACTGATTTGTGAGGTGAGGTACAGAAATTGAAAATAAGCATTCAGAAACTTTTATACTAATTTTACACAGTCATTTTGTATTAGTTGAATCTAATAAAAATGTCAGCTTGTATTGATTGAGAATTTTAAAATTTTTGGTTGTTTAAAGATAATTTGAGGAACACTGCTCTAAAGTGCAGGTAGAAAGATTACACTCACATAAGAGTGACAAATACTTCATTCTAAGCCAGGAGAAGGAGAAAAGGGCAGTACAAGAAAAAGAAAGTAGTATTAGTTTCCTTTTTATTTTTTTAAATAAAGACATAATAATTGTAAATATTTTGGAGTAAAGTGAGATGTTTTGATACATATATACATTGTGGGATGATCAAATCCAGGTATTTAGCATTTTTAAAATTGCAAACACTCATTTCTTTGTGGTAAGAACAAAATCCTCTCATAGCTATTTTAAAGTGTAGCATGCAATCTTGTTAACTTTACTCACCCTTCTTCTGTCTCTATTTTCTTTGCAAAGTCAGACAAAATATCATCCACTAAAAGTTAGATGGGAAGTGGTTGATTCAATGGTTTAAGAAAATGGAGCACGGAAAAATATGCTGTGAGGTATGGGAGAGTGTCCTGACCAGAGGAACATAGAAAAGTGTCTGGTTATTGAAAACTCATGAGTGGTCAGATCTATGCATTTCCATTGCTGCCAAACAAGATGCCGGGGAAGATTTCCAGAAATAGTTTGGGGAAATGTTTGTAGGGTGGGATGCCATGTGTGAGCAAGTGGGAGACAATGTGCCCAAAATATTTGGTGAATACACGCTAAGGTAACATTAGTTCATAACAGGCTGGTAAGGAGGGGGAAATTTTTAAAGATTATTTTAAATATTTATACTTAAACATATTACACATCAGATTAGTGGATGGTATTCAAATGTTTTATTTTATCAAGCCTTCTGAGAAAGCCATTTTAGACACATTTATAATGTAAAAACTGAAGTCTGAGAGATTAAGTCTTCTTGTAATCATGTAGTAAACTAGAGTAAAATTGGGGCCAGATTTCAATTTCTGATTCCCTATCTTTGACTCTTTTTTAACTCTATAAAAGCATTGAAAAAGACATGTAAAAACTCCCATTATACTGTAACAAAATAAAGACACGTGTTCTTTTCAATAAGAGAGAGTTTCTGGGATGTCTGTGAGTTTTATCAGAATGTTTTTTTTTTCAGATTGCTCATTTTGTCTAGTGTTTCAAATACAAAAGTCCACCTGTGAATCAGCTTTAGAATATTAAGTTCATTGTCTTCTAAGAATGCAGTTTTACAATAGATTTGACTGCTATTCTTCTCGTGTACAGTCAGAAGTACATAATAATGATAATAACACCTTACGTTTATGTACTGCTTCACAGTTTCCGAAGTGCTTTCATGTACATTATCTTATATGAGCTTCGTAATAGTTCAGTGAATATATTTATTGGTGCTTTGTTTTATTCATGACTGACATATTGACATTAGTCATACATATTCTGTTTATTCAGATGGTTAGCTATACAAAGCTTTAATCAGACAAACAGAAAGATACAGAGCAAAGAGCACTAAAATGTTATTTATAATTCTGAATTGCTTAGTTTCCTTTTTTTATTTGGTTAAATCATCAAAAATGTGCCTTTAACCTATTTAGGAATAGCAGTATTTAAATATATAATCTTTATATCTAGTCAGTGCGCTCCAGATCATTAACAGGGTAATGAATGAGTATTTTAAAATTGCAAGCTATTTTAAGGTATTATTTGTGAATTTGTAACAGTAAGTATTTTAATAAGATTGAAAAATCTAAGAAAAATATATTTTGAAATTTTGTTTCTCATTATATAGAAAATCCATATTTATTTAGAAATTTAAAGGAATATAGAATTTAATTAAATGATTGCCTTTTAATATTAGTTACACTACACAAAGATGTTTCATTTGCATTAAAAAGGTGTACAATAATATGCTATAACTCTAAAGTTATTCACAATTTATTCTTTCTTTAAAAATCCAGAAAAAAATAGGGTATCTTGAAAAATAACAGAATATACCAATTTAAAGTTACTCTGTTTTAATTTTTAGGGTATTTAAATATTTATTTTACATAGAAATTAACTTACTAATTTTTCTCCCTTTCTAAAAATTATAGATTTATACTAACAGTTTAAAGAGAAAGTTTTGGATGTATTTATTTATTTATTTTTATCTCATATTTCAGAGGAAAATATTTTTGAGCAGAGTAAACTAAAAATAAAAATCAAATCAATCTCCACATTTCCTTTATTTATTGATGTGTGTGTTATATAGTGTGGTCTCATGGTATTTGCATGACATGTGCAGTATTGAAAAATGGCTAACAAGTACAATGAGAGATGTTGATTTGTCATCAAAATATATCTTTCATATTTGTCACACTGAATATTGTTGCCTATACTCTTAGGCTGTTTTAGAAAGTTATTCTTTCTGTAGAACAGTATGAAAAGTAGAAACACCACTTTTTAAAAAATTGCCTATACATTCTAAATTTTTTTAATTATTAAATTATTTAGACCTCTATCAAAATTGTATTCCAAAATATTATATTATAAAATTAACTCTAGTAAATTGTAGATATATTGGAATAATATTAAACAGAATTTGACACTTTTGGAAATCAGTTGCTTGTGATTGTATCTCATTAATAGGACAATGTATACATTATTTTGCCATTTTGAATTTATTATCAGCGTGGAAAAGAGCTAAATTTTAGTCATTAGTAAAATAGAAAAGCTTTTGATAATCTCTTAGCATCATGCTAATTAGGTTTACTATCCTAGAAAATATATCAACTGAAGGCTGTAGCTAGGCAGCTTAATATCTGCCCCTCAAAATTTGATAGAATAGATATAATAGGTGTCACGAGGCATAACTAATCACCTAATGTAAAAAAACAAATAATGAACTATGTTGTAAATATTCTGAATATACTCTAATTGCTTCTTCCTAACCAAATTCACATTATTATAGAAAATTATAATACATTTGGATAAAATTCCGTAATATATTTCAATTGTACTCATCAACACATTTAGTGAGACATTCTTTTATTATACTTTAAAATTCACATAAATTAATAGGAGTTTTTAAAGAGATTGTGAAAAGTGACAGCACTGTGGAAACATACAATTACACTAAATTTTTATCTTTCCTTTGACAACAAATCTCTCTTGAATCCATTTAGGATTTTAAAACAATCTATCACCTATCTTTGACCATATGGACTAAAATTGATATCCACCAATAGACACTGATGCCTGCAAGTCAACAGCATAAAGAGTGGTAAAGTCAGTGCTGCAAAAGATGAAATGTTTTTAATGTGGTAAGTAGACAAAACTGTTACTGCTTTGTGGGTAATACATATAAAATATAACACTGAGTATTTGAGAAATATATAGATGAGAAAAGTTAGCTACCACCTTTTGTTCTCATTCTTTTATTTAAGCTTTTGCAAAAGGAATAATCCTGTATATTTATATATGTTAATCAAGAGACCACCTTTAAACATCTGGCCAATGTCAAAATTTAAACAATGCAACAATTATTTTGGGGACAAAATTGATTCCATTTCTGTTCTGTTACTTATTGTACTAGCTATAAAAGAACAGATGTTTGACATATATAAATTTATTTTAATAGTTTCATTAGGTCTTTATCTGCAGTTTGTCAGTGTGGCTCTACAGATATATTCAACCATCTGTTCCTTGGACCTGTGTTTCATGTAACTTACAGGAGTGTATTAATTTTATTGGATCAGTCATTAATCAATCAGAAGTTTGTTTGCCCTGCAGTGTTCCCAAAAGACAGACTTCATCAGAAAAAAAAAAAGACACTCACTAGCTTGTTAAATAACCTTTTCATTTTTAATGTAATTTCTCCTATGTAGTTAACAGTCACAGATTTTGAAAAAGCATATTACAGAAGACTTTTTGGTTTCGAAACCAAAATTCATTTACCTCAGAGCTTCCATGAGCATTACTCAGAAATATCCATAGACAGTATTTTTAAGAATTTGTTTTTTTTCTGACAAAAGGAGTGATACAAATTTACATCTATGTTATCACTTTTGCATCTGCTTTTGAAATGATACATTGTGAAACATTTTTAGAATACTATGAATTTGTGACTGGAAAAATTTAAATGTTTGAGATGGTGATGTTTGCCATAAAGGCTCATAATCTCAGTTCCGCAGACTGACAGAGGAGCCACCATCAGAAACAGACACAGCATCAGCCCCCTCAGTAACTGGGTTATTGCCCAGAACTAGGTAAAATTGATCCTATCTTTCAAAAATTCATTTCCAACACTTAGAGAATTACCTTAGGATGGCAGTCCCTTTTCTTGTGTAGCTCATATATCTCTGTATCCTTCAGCCTTCTGAGGTTGCTCTTTGCTTCATTGTTCTAACATGCTGCCTTGTATCTCCCGGCCTCATGCTGTAGAAAGTCTCATCTGATATTTTAGTGTTTCCTAGAGTTTCATCTCTACTGGGTCAGTCTAATCTGACTTGCTTCCTACCTGTTATTACTTCTGCCCCTTAAGATGCTAATTGTTTTGTGTGTTTCTTCAAATCAGTCAGAATGCTCTTCAGATACTTTTATTCTCACAAAGTTTTACTAATACTAAGTTATTTTTTTAAATCAACTTTTCCTAAAGCTCGGTTTGAGAGTAACAGAAGAGGATTACAAGCAATAATATACAGTGGAATATTAAATATTACCACCCTAAAATGCAATCCAAAACTTCTGGAAATTTCTACTCTTAAGCCCTAACTCTTACTTAGGCATTTTCTTGAGTTTGTAAATATCTTTCTCTCCAGAAATCCCTCCTCCAAGTGCTAAAATCCCATTTCTTTTTTTTTTTTTTAATTTATTTTTTGAGATGGAGTTTCACTCTTGTCGCCCAGGCTGGAGTTCAATGCTGCTATCTTGGCTCACTGCAATCTCCACCTCCCCGGGTTCAAGTGATTCTCCTGCCTTAGCTTCCTGAGCAGCTAGGATTACAAGTGTGTGCCACAACGCCTGGCTAATGTTTATATTTTTAGTAGAGATGGGGTTTCACCATGTTGGCCACGCTGGTCTTGAACTCCTGACCTCAGGTGATCCACCCACCTAGGCATCCCAAAGTGCTGGGATTACAGGCGTGAGCCACCACTCCTGGCCCCCATTTCTTTCTTATGTAGAGTTGTGCACTTCTTCACTTCACCCACTCTAAGCTCAGGATCTGATTTTACACCACCCAAAACTAATGCAGTTGTTCTGTTAAGCAAACAATCATTTATTTTAGGTGCTTACCCTTCAGCATTAATAAATGTAAGAAGCTTTGATATTTATTTATTTCATTTCTCAAATTCTTAAGAAGTTCTGCCACATGCCAGTCTATAAATGATAAAGATTTCTTTTCACTCTGCTAGAGCAAGACTTTGTGGTTTTACTATATAATACATTCACAAGTTTGCACAGAGTCTAGCATTAGGCAGATCTGCTATCTACATTTGAGAAATTAACTAACCTTTTCTAAGCTTCTGTTTCCTTCTCATTAAAACAAGCAAAGTATATAACTTTTAAGATTGTTGAGAAACTAAAAATACTAAATGAAATGCAAAATTTCAGTAATGGGATCTCTCTCTCTTCTTGTATCTTCTCCTGCTCTCTTTCTCTATTTTTCTCAGTAGAGGTGTCATTTTACTAACTGGAACTATTTTATTCATCTTAGACATTATATTTCTAATTTCCCAAATGCACGGGGTGTCCTTATTCACAGTACAATAAATTATTGAACCAGTCCAATCCATAGCCTGAGAAAACAGCTTCACTGGCTGGGCGTGGTGGCTCATGCCTGTAATCCCAGAACTTTGGGAGGCCAGGGTGGGTGAATCACCTGAGGTCAGGAGATCAAGACCAACCTGACCAACACGGCAAAACTCCGTCTGTGCTAGCAATACGAAATGAGCCGGTTGTGGTGGCACATGCCTGTAATCCCAGCTACTTGGGAGGCTGAGGCAGGAGAATCACTTGAACCCAGGAGATGGAGGTTGCAGTGAGCCAAGATCACGTCATTGCACTCCAGCCTGGGCAACAAGAGCAAAACTCTGTCTCAAAAAAAAAAAAAAAAAGAGAGAGAGAGAGAAAGAAAGAGGAAGGAAGGAAGGAAGGAGCGAGACAAAGAAAGAAGAAAAAGAAAGAGAGAAATAAGAAAGAAAAGAAAGAAAGAGAAAGAAAGAAAAAAAGAAAAGAAAGAAAGAAAGAAAAAGAAAGAAAGAAAGAAAGAAAGAAAGAAAAAAAGAAACTACCTTCTTCAACGTTGGTTCCTGCCTTCCTTGATTGCTTGGAACCAGTTTTTGGTCTCTGTGTTAAAAAACCTACTCAAGCTCTGAAATTTTAAATTCTTCAGGAAGGAGGAGACTTTTAAAATTTATCTTCTCTCCAATTAACTGCCATTTTCCCCCTTTCTTTTGTTCCTCTTTATAATAGTTGAATTTCTACTTATATCTCCTTAGCTTATAATTTTTAATTACTGTCAGATGGAAGCTCTAGATTAATTAATCTCACCAGATGGCCCTTTAAAACTCATGCATATTATATTTAAGGCATTATCCTTGCTCATAAGACAACTCTAGTAATAATATTTAGTGCTCTATCCCTGGTTCTGAGTCTCTATTTCCCCCAGCTTAAAGTTGGATTTAGGTCTTGATTAAGTGGCTTATAATTACTTCCATTTGCCTGTGAGCAAGAGTTGGTTAGCACACCGTGTCTTACTTTACACACACATGGTATAGTTTTGCCAATAATTCTATGCTAATTGTTCTCAATTTCCCATATTTAAAAATTGGGTGTAATTTAAGGGCTCATACAGACTCATTTTAAAAAATAGGAGCATATGATAAATATATTCTAGAAAATCTCCTTGGATTATTATCTTATCAAATGCTTCATGAGCATAACCACTTTTTAGGAGGTAACCATTAGAGAGTGACATCAGCAAGATGGTGGGATAGAAGGTCCTACCTCTAGTTCTCCTCATAGAAATATCAACCAGCAACTAGTCACTGACAAGGATGCCTTTGTGAAAATCCCAGAACCTGAGGGTGAGGCATCATTAAAACTGCAAAAAGCCCCATAAAGCCACATTAGAAAAGTAAGAGGAACACTTTCCCTTTCACTGTGTTTTCCCTGCCCCAGGCTGGCACAGCACTACACTGAGAGATTTCCTTAGGCCTAGAGTTTGTGCAGTGGGGAAAAGAGAACCCAAGAACAATATACAGCTTCCCAAGCATATTGACGTGCCTTCTGGAAGGGCCACTTCTATCCTTCTTCACAGAGAGCACTGGGGGGACTAGACTACTTGGGGTCACATAGGAACAAAGAAAGGGGGTGGGTTTACAGCAGTCAGCACATGGATCTTGGCAGAGGCATTGTATCCCTACAGGCAGTGTGATCTAGCCAGAATGCAACCAGTGGCTCTACCTACCATCAGAGTTGATCCAGTAGTTCAGTACTCCCCAGCTGGGGTCCCTAGTCAATGGTCCAGCCCAACCTTGGAGCATTGCTATTGGCTTTTCTTAAGCAGGTAGCCCATTCAGCAACCCTATACAACTGCAGAATATAGACTGTAGTCCTGCCTGACCAAGGAACCCAGGAAGAAATTCTGCCCATTTTCAGAGCCCAGAGTGTGGTTCTGGATTGGCCGGAAGCCAAGCCAGAAGCCCTGTTCAATTGAGGAGCATAGCCTGCAGATGCACCTAATAAGAAAGCCTGGTGATATGGTTTGGCTGTGTCCCCACCAAAATCTCATCTTGAATTGTAATCCCCATAATCTCCACGTGTCAAGGGAGAGACCAGGTGGAGGTAATTGAATTATGGGGCTAGTTTCTCCCATGCTGTTCTTGTAATAGTGAGTGAATTCTCACGAGATCCCATGGTTTTAAAAGGGGCTCTTCCCCCTTCACTTTCCGCTTCGCCTCCCTGCTGCCCTGTGAAAAAGGTGACTTGCTTCTCCTTCGCCTTCTACCATGATTGTTAAGTTTCCTGAGGACTCCCCAGCCATCCTGAACTGTGAGTCAATTAAACCTCTTTCCTTTATAAATTACCCAGTCTCAGGCAGTTCTTTATAGCAGTATGAAAATGGACTAATACACCTGCTAAGCAACCTTCCTGGCCATGGAGCATAGCTTATGGCCCTGCCTTGTGGCAAAGCCCAGTATCCTCCCTGTGGAGCCTAAACTAAGGCCCTGCCTAATTACAGAGCACAGCCCAGGCACAAAGCTCAGCCAGTGATTCCACTCAAATACAGAGGATAGCCTGTTGTTCTGCTTGATTCAGGAGCCCAGACTATAGCCCCCTCCAACTGCAGGGTACAACCCATAGCCGCTCCTAAACTGGAAGGCCAGTAGTGACCCCAGCTGGCCACAGAACACAGCCTAAACCCGAAGCTCAGCTAGCAGACCACCCAACTGTGGAGTTCAGACTTTAGCTCTGCCTGATTTCATAGCACAGTGACTCTGCCCAGCTAGAGACTGATAGCAAGCTTTGCCTACCTACAGATACTACTAGCTAACTTATCCAGAACTTTAGGCTGGACTAACTGGCAAAAGTCTATCCCTGCCAAAGCAAACAATTCTAAAAATGGCAATAGTAAGTCCTTACCTCTCAATGTTTACTTTAAATGTTAATGGATTAAATTATCCAATCAAAAGACATAGTGTGTTTGAATGGATTAAAAAGCAAAATAAAAAAGCTGCAACAAGAGATTTTTTTAGACCTAAGAACACATGTAAGCTAAAAGTATAGAATGGAAAAAGATATTCCATGCAAATAGTAACCAAAAGAGATCATAAATTGCTATATTTATATCAGATAAGATACACTTTAGGTGAGAAACAGTCACAAGAGACAAAAGGATCCTTACATGATGAAAAGTGGAAAATTTACCTAGCAAATATAACAATTGTAAATAGTTATATACCCAGCATCAGAGCACGTAAATACATAAAGCAAATACTATCAGAACTGGAAGGATAAATAAACAGCAAAACAATAATAGTAAGGGACTTTAATACCCTCTCTCAACAATAGGTATATAATAAAGAGTGAAAACATGAAAAGGTAAACCATGGATTTGGACAACACTATAAACCAAATGGACCTAACAGATATATACAGAACATTATACTTGACAACAACAAAATATACCTTCTCAAGCATGCACAGAACATTCTACATTATAAATCATGTATTAAGCTACAAAATACATTTCAACAAATTAAAAAACTTTGAAATCATATCAAGTATTGTTTCCAACAACAGTGGTATGAAATTAGAAATCAATATAAGGAAAATTAGAAAATTCACAAAAATGTGAAAATAATAGAATCTTGAACAACCAATGTGTTAAAGGAGAAATCAAAAGAAAAACATAAAAAAATCTTAAAAAATAAAAGCACAACACATAAAACCTTATAGGATGTAGGAAAAGCAGTCCTGAGAGAGAAATTTATAGCTACAAATGCTGAATACCTGTGTGACAAAAGAATCTGTGCATCACAAACACCCAAGACAAGTGTTTATATAACAAACCTGCACACGTTCCCCGAACTTAAAATATTTGAACTTAAAATAAGTAAAAAAAAAAAAAAAAAAAAAGAGAAATCTTAATATTTCACCTTCAGGAACTAGAAAAAGAATAAACCAAGCCCCTGATTAGCAGAAGGAAAGACATACTGAAGACTGTAGCAGAAATAAATAATAGAATAGAAAAACAATAGAAAATGTAAATGAAATGGAGTTGGTTTTATTCCAAAGATAAGCAAAATTGACAACCCTTTACCTAGGCCAATCAAGTGAAAACAAGAAAGAACTCAAATGAATAAAATTATAAATAAAAAAGGAGACCTTAAAATTGGTACTGCAGATATACAAAGGATCATATGAAAGGAATATCGACAATTGTGTCTCACAAATTAGATAAGCTAAAATAAATGGATACATTCCTAGAAACTATAATGTACCAAGACTGAATTATAATGAAATAGAAAAATCTAAGCTGATTAGTAAAGAATAAGGAGACTGAATCAGCAATCAATAGTTTTTAAATTGATTACATGTTGAAATAATCTTTTGCATATGTTGGATTAAATATTTTCTTAAAATTAATGTCGCCTGTTTCTAATTTTTAATGTGTCTACTAGAAAATTTAAAATTCTGTATGTGGCTTGCATTGTATTTCTATTGGAAAGTCCTGAGTTAGTCCATCACTTGCTGGTGCCTCACATGTATTTTATTCACTGGTGCACTTGTAAGTAGTGTCATTATTCACTAATCAGTGAACTTTCAAAGACCTTTCCACTTTCATGTTGACTGTGAGGGGAAGCCCAGGGAATAAATTATTCACTCTGTAGTATTGAGGAAGCATTTAGTAGATCCCAGGAGGAGTGTTGAACTAAGGGCAGTTTTAGGCAGACAGGCCTCTGACATCACCTCTATTTTGAAGGGTTTGAAACCTTGCTTCAACCGAAGCATGTATCATTGTGTTTCCTCGTGTTGCCTGGTTGTGTATTTACTCCCAGAAACAGCCACTGCTTTCCAAGGCTTATATAAAAATCTGATTATATTTTACTAAAATTTTTAGTTGCTGTTACTTTGATTCATTTTGACCCAATATTCTCAATATTAACAGATTTCTAGTACTAATCATTATTTTTTCAGTGCTTTTATCTTTCCTGCCAACGTAATAACCTTCCCAAGGGAACTTAAATATTTTCCATCAAAGCAACAATAATCAAATGGCAAATGAGACTGACATTTGTTAGAAAGGGAACTGACAGCAAAATCAAAGGTAATTAACCAGGCCAGTTTGGCATGGGGAAATTATTAAAATCTTAACAAGATTAACTATAGACTTGTTGAAAGCCCAGGAGCCAATTCCTTTTGTTTTATTTGTTATCTAGTTTGATAATGTGCTCCTTGTCAGGCACAGATACTGTTATGCTTTGGCTATGACTGCCAGGACTAACAGAATTGGCTATTTAGCCCTTCATCAGGGTGCTGGGAAGGTGAATTATAAAACCGATAAAAGCTATGCTCTTAATACAACTATTCTGATGTTATATTTCATCTAACTCAATATTTATTCATCTAGAGTAATCTCAACACCAAAATAAGAACTCAACTCAAAGAAAATATCAGCCAGAAAATGTATTTTTATGAAAATCAAATACTGGTTTTACTTTCTATGTCAGTTTTTATAATAGCAATTCATTTAAGAGCTATTTGTGTACAATTGCTTGAATAGCAAAATTGTCATTCAGAATTTGCTTCATTACCTCATTATACAGGCTTTTATTAAGATCTGCTATGTGCCAATCACTAGGCTGGGCTCTGTGGAAAATACGAGGAATCATTTTCGCCAGGTGCGGTGGCTTACTCCTGTAATCCCAGCACTTTGGGAGGCTGAGGCGGGTGGATCGCCTAGGTCAGGAGTTCAAGACCAACCTGGCCAACATGGTGAAACCCTGTCTCTACTAAAATTACAAAAATTATCCAGGTGTGGTTGCAGGCGCCTGTAAACCCAGCTACTAGTGTGTGCTTAGGCAGGAGAATTGCTTGAACCTAGGAGACAGAGATTGAAGTAAGCCGAGATTGCACCACTGCACTTCAGCCTGGGTAACAGAGCAAGACTGTTTCTCAAAAAACAAACACGACCATAACAAACAAACAAAAAACAACAAAAACCCTCAATTAAAAAAAAAAAAAATTTTTTTAAATTTTAAGTTCTGGGATACATGTGCAGAACATCCAGGTTTGTTACATAGGTATACATGTGCCATGGTGGTTTGCTTTACCCATCAACCCGTCATCTACATTAGGTATTTCTCCTAATGCTATGCATCCCCTAGCCCCCCACCCCCAGACAGGCTCTGGTTTGTGATGTTCCCCTCCCTGTGTCCATGTGTTCTCATTGTTTAACTCCCACTTATGAGTGAGAACATGCAGTGTTTGGTTTTCTGTTCTTGTGTTAGTTTGCTGAGAATGATGGTTTCCAGCTTCATCCATGTCACTGCAAAGGACATGAACTCATCCTTTTTTATGGCTGCATAGTATTCCATGGTGTATATGTGCCACCTTTTCTTTATCCAATCTATCATTGATGGGCATTTGGGATGGTTCCAAGTCTTTGCTATTGTGAACAGTGCCGCAATAAGCATATGTGTGCATGTGTCCTTACAGTAGAATGATTTATAATCATTTGGGTATATATCCAGTAATGGGATTGCTGGGTTAAATGGTATTTCTGGTTCTAGATCCTTGAGGAATCACCACACTGTCTTCTACAAAGGTTCAACTAATTTACATTCCCACCAACAGGGTAAAAGCATTCCTGTTTCTCCCTGTCCAGCCATCTGTTGTTTCCTGACTTTTTAATGATAGCCATTCTAACTGGTGTGAGATGGTATCTCATTGTGGTTTTGATTTGCATTTCTCTAATGACCAGTGATGATGAGACTTTTTTTATATGTTTGTTGGCTGCATAAATGTCTTCTTTTGAGAAGTGTCTGTTCATATCCTTCGCATACTTTTTGATGGCATTTTTTTTCTTGTAAATTTATTTAAGTTCTTTGTAGATTCTGGATATTAGCCCTTTGTCAGATGGATAGATTGCAAAAATTTTCTCCCATTCTGTAGGTTTAGTACACTCTGTTCACTCTGAAGATAGTTTATTTTGCTGTGCAGAAGCTCGTTAGATTAAATAGATCCCATTTGTTAATTTTGGCTTTTGTTGCCATTGCTTTTGGTGTTTTAGTCATTAGGTCTTTTTCCATGCCTATATCCTGAATGGTATTGCCTAGATTTTCTTCTAGGGTTTTTATTGTTTTAGGTCTTTTGTTTAAGTCTTTAATCCATATTGAGTTAATTTTTGTATAAGGTGTAAGGAAGAGGTCCAGTTTCAGCTTTCTGCATATGGCTAGCCAGTTTTCCCAACACCATTTATTAAATAGGGAATCCTTTCTCCATTGCTTGTTTTTGTCAGGTTTGCCAAAGATAGATGGTTGTAGATGTGTGGTGTTATTTCTGAGGCCTCTATTCTGTTCCATTTGTCTATATATTTGTTTTGGTACCAGTACCATGCTGTTTTGGTTACTATGTCCTTGTAGTATAGTTTGAAGTCAGGTAGCATGATACCTCCAGCTTTGTTCTTTTTGCTTAGGATTGTCTTGGCTATGTGGGCTCTTTTTTGGTTCCATATGAAATTTAAAGTAGTTTTTTTCTAATTCTCTGAAGAAAGTCAATGGTAGCTTGATGGGGATAGCATTCAATCTATAAATTACTTTGGGCAGTATGGCCATTTTCACGATATTGATTCGTCCTATCCATGAACATGAAATGCTTTTCATTTTTTTGTGTCCTCTCTTATTTCCTTGAGCAGAGGTTTGTAGTTCTCCTTGAAGAGGTCCTTCACATCCCTTGTCAGTTGTATTCCTTGGTATTTTATTCTCTTTATAGCAATTGTGAATGGGAGTTCACTCATGATTTGGCTGTTTGTCTATTATTGGTGTATAGGAATGAAAACTCCGTTTTAACTGGAGAAAAAGAAATGAAGTCAAAATGATTAAAATGCCTTGTGAACAGTATAGAAATTGACCAGATTATTGACAGTTTCTCCTTGTAGTCTGTAGGCCTCTAGTGTAGCATCATTTTTTATCTTTACATATTTCTTGGCACCAACAATCATAACTTTTTAATACATAAAGTCACTTTGAGTTGTGTGCATTTTCACTTCTTTATGAAAAATTTATATTTTTTTGTTTTGGAATAATTTCCTTAGCTACAAAAAATAGATTATTATTTCCTATGGAACATTAGTTTCATCATTCTGGTTTTTAGAAGTTTTCTCTTATGATTACAGTACCAGATGTTAAAATTGCTATGTTGTCTAACCATCTGAAGCAAAAGCAGATTGTTTACCTCACTTTTCTGGAGCTTTGTCTCTTTGGGAGAAAAAAATCTATTTTATATGACAGTTGTGTTCACAGATCAGTCCATGGAATCACTGAATACTGAGTTATAGTTATTTATGTGTTTGTGACTTTAGCATATAAAATGATACAACTGAATCATATATGTTTATCTGTTTGTAAAGATTCAGGTTACTATTCTTACATGTTTTGGGTATCTAGGATAGTGCAAATCTAAAATGATGCAATATGGTAAAGAGGCAGTTCTTCAGAGAAATATACCAAAGATATTTGGCGCCTACTGCTAGCCACCTATGAAGGCCTCATACAACACAGCTCATTGGCAGAACAAATGTAATATCTTGAATCAAGGTTACAAGCTAATGATTCCAGGCCCAGATACAAATTCAATAGTGTCCCTGCAAAATTCATGTCTACCTGGAACCTCCGAATGTGACCCTATTTTAATATAGGGTCTTTGCTTATGTAATCAGGTTCAATGAGGTCATACTAGATTACAGTGAGCCCTATTTCAATGACTGGTGTCTTTGTAAGTAGTGGGAAATTTGAAAACAGAGACATACAGATGAGCAGGGGAAAAGGGATATGAATAGAGAGGCAGAGTTTGGAGTGATGCAGCTGCAAGCTGAGGAACTCCAAAGATTGCCAGGCAGAAGCTAGAAAAAATTCAAGGAAGAATCCTGCCCTACAGCCTCCAGAGAGTGGGTGAACTTGCCAATACATTGCTTTTGGATTTTGTCTTACAGAGCTACACGGGAATAACCTTAATTTAAGCCACTCAGTGTGTGGTATTCTGTTACAGCATCCCTAGGAACCTAATATGTGTAGCATCAGTTTCTTACCTTCCAACTTGGAGGCTGAACTGGAGTAGAATGTAGAATTTTGGAGCAGTGATAAACAATAGGAGTTGTGACAGGCTTAAGTTGTATGAAAGATGCCCTTAAGATTTTCCCATTAGAGACTCAAAGAGTTGAGTATAAGAGCGTAGCCCACATTCTTCTGCATTCATTCCAGCTAATGTTTAAATCAGAGATTCAGATCAGGTTTTGGTGCATTAAAAGTGGTATGAGTGTAATTAAGAATCTATATTTTGCAACGTCACTTATGTGTTTGTGAGGCCTTCGTTTCTTTGTATGTCTTACTCAATTGTTTTTTGATTTTAATTTCTACTTTGCCTAAAATGAAATAGGATACATTATTTTACTCACCTTGGAAAGAATCCTCTAGCTTCCATTTCACCCAGTACCCAGGTAAAGGAGGGAAGGCAGCTCTTTCAATTCGAGAGACCAAAAAGGGGAGAGGAGTTGCCATAAACATGAAGTATCTTAGTTTATTCAGGCTGCTATAACAAAATACCATCAACTGGGTACCTTATAAACAACAAAAAATTGTTGTCTCACAGTTCTGGAATCTGCGAACTCAAGATCAAAGTGTAAGCAGATTCAATTTCTGTCGAAGGTGCACTTTCTCATTCTTTTTTTTTTTTTTTTTGAGACGGAGTCTCACTCTGTCACCCAGGCTGGAGTGCAGTGGCGCGATCTCGGCTCACTGCAAACTCTGCCTCCCGGTTCACGCCATTCTCCTGCCTCAGCCTCCCGAGTAGCTGGGACTACAGGCTCCCGCCAGCACGCCCGGCTAATTTTTTGTGTTTTTTTTAGTAGAGACGGGATTTCACCGTGTTAGCCAGGATGGTCTCGATCTCCTGACCTCGTGATCCGCCCGCCTTGGCCTCCCAAAGTACTGGGATTACAGGCGTGAGCCACCTCGCCTGGCCCCCTTTCTCATTCTTTTATCCGTGTCCTCACACAGTGGAAGAGGTAAGCTAGCTCTCCGTGGTCTCTCTTTTTCCATGAAGGCACTAATCCCAATTATGATGGTTCCACCCTCATGACTCAAATACCGCCCAAAGGTCCCACTTTCTAATACCATCAACTTGAAGTTTGGATTCCAACATAAGGATTTTCTTGAGGGGACACAAACATTTAATCTGTAGCATCAAGAGAATACAAGAGGGTCAGACTAGAGGGAGCTTACACGTTAATCAATTTAGGCCTGAGATTTTCCCTCACACTTAGAAAACTTCGGCTGACAAATGATGTTGCTATCCAGAGATTTTCCTCTGATACTTTATAACAAAAGAATAAGAAGTACACCTCATGTTGGCAAGGTTGTCACTACTTCCTGCTGTAACCCAAGTGAGGATGACGGCATGTGCACTCTTTGTTACATGTATCACATGCCTGATGCTGACAACTCACTCTAATTCTTTATAATCAATAGAATTTTGCCATTTTTCAGCCAGGCTCTGAAAAGTCCTGATTATTTTAGCCTTAATGGAATACCCCCTACATTCCCTCAAACCCTAAGAATCACTACAAGAAACACTGAGAATAGATTTCCAAGGGAAGAACATTTGGATGTCTTAATCATACATTATCAACCCAGGACACGCCCAGAAGGACCCCTAAAATATAAGCTTTCTATTTCTTCCTGTCTTTTGTTTGTCATCTCTCTTAATTAACAAGACTTTAAGATTTAACAACAATCAGCTTGTGTCCTGGAGAGAGTAGAGTGGTTGAAAGCACAGACTCTGGAGCCAGACTGCCTGGATTCACATCTCAGCTCTAATGCTTACAGGCTCTGTGACACTGTGCAAGCTTTCATGAATTAATCTACAGTAATAAAGTAATATGAGAATTGCTATTGTCTTTATGTTACACTGAAAGTAGGTAGACGCTCTCATGAAAATTCTTTTCAGAAGTCTGTATATGTTTATTTTAAGCATTTTCTCTTAGAAAGGTACAATTTATAGCAAAATTTTGCAATAAAGGTTAAAGTGCTTTTATAAATTAATGTATTATTTTATAGCAGTAATATTTTCCTAATAATGTAGTAGATATTTATAATTATTGTTTAATTTTAAGATTTCAAGTTTAAGTCTTGAAATAAAAGGTTTGTGTATTTAATTATTTGATTAAACGGATACCTAGATGAAGCAAGTAATATAGATCTTTTCAAAGTGACTCATTTCCAGAAAGGCTTACTTAAATAAATTTTATTTTATCACAATCAGCAATGCTTGTATTGGATACATTTCTGTCTGTCTGCTCTTCTGTAGAGCATTTAAGCAAGTTAAAGGAAGGCAGCCCTACTTGAGGCACAAAGAAATAAAACTATCATTAATGTCAGCAAGAAGCAACATTGTATTTTATGTCCAGAAACACACAAAAAGGGGATAAAATAATTACTCCCGTTGCAACTCATATCAAACATTTTTAATACTATAATTCAAGAAAAACTGGTCAATATTATCTGAGTACTAAAACTGACAATTAAAAAAATAAATATTCTATCTGCTAAGGCTGGTTTCTACAGACATAATACCATTCAATTAGAATAAGTTCCAAGTTAATGCAGTCAATTACTATATTTTTACACTTAAATGTATTTTATATCTCAGAATTTTTAACTTCAGGAAAAATTTTCTTTACTTTGTCAAATACATTACATAATTTAAGCATATTCTCAAAATATATTTTGTATGTATAGTATTTTTAAAGTCAAGTTTTCAGTTTGGAATAGTTTTAGATATACAGAAAAGTTGCAAAGATAGTTCAGAGAGTTCCCACATACCCAACACATGGTGCTCCCTATTATTAATATCTTACATTAGTATGATACATTTCTCACAAGTAAAGAACCGTTATTGACACTTTATTCATATTTTTCTTTGTTTTTACATATGGTTATTTTTTATGTTTCAAGATTCCATTCAGAATGTCAAAAATTATATTTAGGATCTTCTTGACTGTGACAATTTCTTAGACTTCCCTAGTTTTTGATGACCTTAACAATGTGAGAAGTACTGATAAGGTATTTTGTAGAATGTCCCTCAATTGCAATTTGTTTAATATTATTTTCATGATTAGACTGGGGTTATGGGTATTGGGGAAAAAGACCACAGAGGTGAAGTGCCATTATTATCACATCATATCAAAGTTACATACTATCAACATGATTCACCACTGCTGATGTTAATATTGATCACCTGGCTGTGAGAGTGTTTACCAGTTTTCTCCAATGAAAAGTTATTCTTTCCCCTCTCATTTCTATACTTATTTGAAAAGAAGGCATTATGCACAGCCCACACTTAAGGAATTGAGGACAATGTGTCTCCATAAATTATTCAAAAATTCTTCTACATGGGAGTTTTGTCTCATCTCCATTTATTTATTCATTGAATTATTTACTTATATCAGTATGAATCATATACACCTATTTTGTATATTAGGTTATAGTCCAATAGTACTTCATTTATTTTGTTGTTCAAATTGATCCAGCTCAAATTGATCCAGCTTTGGCTATTGGAAGTTCTTTCATTTGCCTCTTTTGTCATTTTAACATAAATACATCTTTGTGTGTGTTTGTGTGTGTGCCCACGCGCTGAGTACCTCTCAATAGAAGTACCTCAAATAGAAGTCTGAGTACCTCAAATAGAAGACTGCACACTTCCACCTACTACATCTTGGTATCAGAGGTGCCAAGAAAAACACAACGTGTTTTCTAGCAGTACGAGGTGTTCTAGGCTCATCTTGTATACTGTCTGTCCCAGTCCTGGAATCGGCCATTTCTCCAAAAAGGGCTGGTTCCTTTTATTACATAACTCAACTAAGAAACAAGATCTGGGTACTAGGTGTGCTTGTTGCTACTAGTATGTTGTTACTTCTAAGCCCAATCAATTGACCAAGCAAGGTGACATATCTATGTACACTAGCATATTCGTATGTATATGCACATAAATTTCTTGCCTAATTACTTGGTAGAATTAACCAGTGAAATCGTTTGGGCCTAGTGTTCTCTTTTCTAGAAAACTTTTCATTATTTATTCGATTATTATACATTTAATAGATACAGAGATATCCGAGTTCTTTTTTTTTTTAATTTTATTATTATTATACTTTAAGTTTTAGGGTACATGTGCACAATATGCAGGTTTGTTACATATGTATACATGTGCCATGTTGGTATGCTGCACCCATTAACTTGTCATTTAGCATTAGGTATATCTCCTAACGCTATCCCTCCCCCCTCCCTCCACCCCACAACAGACCCCAGTGTGTGATATTCCCCTTCCTGTGTCCATCTGTTCTCATTGTTCAATTCCCACCTATGAGTGAGAACATGTGGTGTTTGGTGTTTTGTCCTTGTGATAGTTTGCTGAGAATGATGGTTTCCAGCTTCATCCATGTCCCTACAAAGGACATGAACTCATCATTTTTTATGGCTGCGTAGTATTCCATGGTGTATATGTGCCACATTTTCTTAATCCAGCCTATCGTTGTTGGACATTTGGGTTGGTTCCAAGTCTTTGCTATTGTGAATAGTGCTGCAATAAACATACGTGTGCATGTGTCTTTATAGCAGCATGATTTATAATCCTTTGGGTATATACCCAGTAATGGGATGGCTGGGTCAAATGGTATTTCTAGTTCTAGATCCCTGGGGAATCGTCACACTGACTTCCACAATGGTTGAACTAGTTTACAGTCCCACCAACAGTGTAAAAGTGTTCCCTATTTCTCCACATCCTCTCCAGCACCTGTTGTTTCCTGACTTTTGAATTATCGCCATTCTAAATGGTGTAAGATGGTATCTCATTGTGGTTTTGATTTGCATTTCTCTGATGGCCAGTGATGATGAGCATTTTTTCATGTGTCTTTTGGCTGCATAAATGTCTTCTTTTGAGAAGTGTCTGTTCATATCCTTCTTCCACTTTTTGATGGGGTTGTTTTTTTCTTGTAAATTTGTTTGAGTTCATTGTAGATTCTGGATATTAGCCCTTTGTCAGATGAGTACATTGCAAAACTTTTCTCCCATTCTGTAGGTTGCATGTTCACTCTGATGATAGTTTCTTTTGCTGTACAGAAGCTCTTTAGTTTAATTAGATCCCATTTGTCAATTTTGTCTTTTGTTGCCATTGCTTTTGGTGTTTTAGACATGAAGTCCTTGCCCATGCCTATGTCCTGAATGGTATTGCCTAGGTTTTCTTCTAGGGTTTTTGTGGTTTTAGGTCTAACATGTAAGTCTTTAATCCATCTTGAATTAATTTTTTATAAGGTATAAGGAAGGGATCCAGTTTCAGCTTTCTACATATGGCTAGCCAGTTTTCCCAGCACCATTTATTAAATAGGGAATCCTTTCCCCGTTTCTTGTTTTTGTCAGGTTTGTCAAAGATCAGATAGTTGTATATATGCAGCATTATTTCTGAGGGCTCTGTTCTGTTCCATTGGTCTATATCTCTGTTTTGGTACCAGTACCACGCTGTTTTCATTATTGTAGCCTTGTAGTATAGTTTGAAGTCAGGTAGCATGATGCCTCCAGCTTTGTTCTTTTGGCTTAGGATTGACTTGGCAATGGGGGCTCTTATTTGATTCCATATGAACTTTAAAATGGTTTTTTCCAGTTCTGTGAAGAAAGTCACTGGTAGCTTGATGGGGATGGCATTGAATCTATAAATTCCCTTGGGCAGTATGACCATTTTCACGATATTGATTCTTCCTACCCATGAGCATGGAATGTTCTTCCATTTGTTTGTATCCTCTTTTATTTCATTGAGCAGTGGTTTGTAGTTCTCCTTGAAGAGGTCCTTCACATGCCTTGTAAGTTGGATTCCTAGGTATTTTATTCTCTTTGAAGCAATTGTGAATGGGAGTTCACTCATGATTTGGCTCTCTGTTTGTCTGTTATTGGTGTATAAGGATGCTTGTGATTTTTGCATTGATTTTGTATCCTGAGACTTTGCTGAAGTTGCTTATCAGCTTAAGGAGATTTTGGGCTAAGATGATGGGGTTTTCTAGATATACAATCATGTCATCTGCAAACAGGGACAATTTGACTTCCTCTTTTCCTAATTGAATGCCCTTTATTTCCTTCTCCTGCCTAATTTCCCTGGCCAGAACTTCCAACACTATGTTGAATAGGAGTGGTGAGAGAGGGCATCCCTGTCTTGTGCCAGTTTTCAAAGGGAATGCTTCCAGTTTTTGCCCATTCAGTATGATATTTGCTGTGGGTTTGTCATAGACAGCTCTTATTATTTTGAGATACATCCCATCAATACCTAATTTATTGAGAGTTTTTAACATGAAGCATTGTTGAATTTTGTCAAAGGCCTTTTCTGCATCTATTGAGATAATCATGTAGTTTTTGTCGTTGGTTCTCCTTATATGCTGGATTACGTTTATTGATTTTCATATGTTGAACCAGTCTTGCATCCCAGGGATGAAGCCCACTTGATCATGGTGGATAAGCTTTTTGATGTGCTGCCAGATTCGGTTTGCCAGTATTTTATTGAGGATTTTTGCATCAATGTTCCTTAAGGATACTGGTCTAAAATTCTCTTTTTTTGTGGTGTCTCTGCCAGGCTTTGATATCAGGATGATGCTGGCCTCATAAAATGAGTTTGGGAGGATTCCCTCTTTTTCTATCAACTGGAATAGTTTCAGAAGGAATGGTACCAGCTCCTCCTTGTACCTCTGGTAGAATTCGGCCGTGAATCCATCTGGTCCTGGACTTTTTTTGGTTGGTAAGCTATTAATTTTTACCTCAATTTCAGAGCCTGTTATTGGTCTATTCAGAGACTCAACTTCTTCCTGGTTTATTCTTGGGAGGGTGTATGTGTCGAGGAATTCATCCATTTCTTCTAGATTTTCTAGTTTATTTGCGTAGAGGTGTTTATAGTATTCTCTGACAGTAGTTTATATTTCTGTGGGATCGGTGGTGACATCCCCTTTGTCAGTTTTTATTGCATCTATTTGATTCTTCTCTCTTTTCTTCTTTATTAGTCTTGCTAGTGGTCTATTGATTTTGTTGATCTTTTCAAAAAACCAGTTCCTGGATTCATTGATTTGTTGAAGGGTTTTTTGTGTCTCTGTCTCCTTCAGTTCTGCTCTGATGTTGGTTACTTCTTGCCTTCTGCTAGTTTTTGAATGTGTTTGCTCTTGCTTTTCTAGTTCTTTTAATTGTGATGTTAGGGTGTCAATTTTAGATCTTTCCTGCTTTCTCTTGTGGACACTTAGTGCTATACATTTCCCTCTACACACTGCTTTTAATGTGTCCCAGAGATTCAGGTATGTTGTGTCTTTGTTCCTGTTGGTTTCAAAGAACATCTTTATTTCTGCCTTCATTTTGTTATGTACCCAGTAGTCACTCAAGAGCAGGTTGTTCAGTTTCCATGTAGTTGAGCGGTTTTGAGTGAGTTTCTTAATCCTGAGCTCTAGTTTGATTGCACTGTGGTCTGAGAGACAGTTTGTTATAATTTCTGTTCTTTTACATTTGCTGAGGAGTGCTTTACTTCCAACTATGTGGTCAATTTTGGAATAGGTGTGGTGTGGTGCTGAAAGAATGTATATTCTGTTGATTTGGGGTGGAGAGTTCTCTAGATGTCTATTAGGTCCACTTGGTGCAGAGCTGAGTTCAATTCCTGGATATCCTTGTTAATTTTCTCTCCCATTGATCTGTCTAATGTTGACAGTGGGATGTAAAAGTCTCCCTTTATTATTGTGTGGGAGTCTAAGTCTCTTTGTAGGTCACTAAGGACTTGCTTTATTAATCTGAGTGCTCCTGTATTGGGTGCATGTATATTTAGGATAGTTAGCTCTTCTTGTTGAATTGATCCCTTTACCATTATATAATGGCCTTCTATGTCTCTTTTGATCTTTGTTGGTTGAAAGTCTGTTTTATCAGAGACTAGGATTGCAACCCCTGCCTTTCTTCATTTTCCATTTGCTTGGTAGATCTTCCTCCATCCCTTTATTTTGAGCCTATGTGTGTCTCTGCACATGAGATGTGTTTCCTGAATACAGCACACTGATGGGTCTTGACTCTTTATCCAACTTGCCAGTCTGTGTCTTTTAATTGGAGCATTTAGCCCATTTACATTTAAGGTTAATATTGTTATGTGTGAATTTGATCCTGTCATTATGATGTTAGCTGCTTATTTTGCTCGTTAGTTGATGCAATTTCTTCCTAGCCTTGATGGTCTTTACAATTTGGCATGTTTTTCGCAGTGGCTGGTACCAGTTGTTCCTTTCCATGTTTAGTGCTTCCTTCAGGAGCTCTTTTAGGCAGGCCTGGTGGTGACAAAATCTCTCAGCATTTGCTTGTCTGTAAAGGATTTTATTTCTCCTTCACTTATGAAGCTTAGTTTGGCTGGATATGAAATTCTGGGTTGAAAATTCTTTAAGAATGTTGAATATTGGCCCCCACTCTCTTCTGGCTTGTAGAGTTTCTGCTGAGAGATCAGCTGTTAGTCTGATGGGCTTCCCTTTGTGGGTAACCTGACCTTTCTGTCTGGCTGCCCTTAACATTTTTTCCTTCATTTCAACTTTGGTGAATCTGACAATTATGTGTCCTGGAATTGCTCTTCTTGAGGAGTATCTTTGTGGCATTCTCTGTATTTCCTGAATTTGAATGTTGGCCTGCCTTGCTAGATTTGGGAAGTTCTCCTGGATAATATCCTGCAGAGTGTTTTCCAACTTGGTTCCATTCTCCCTGTCACTTTCAGGTACACCAATCAGATGTAGATTTGGTCTTTTCACATAGTCCCATATTTCTTGGAGGCTTTGTTTGTTTCTTTTTATTCTTTTTTCTCTAAACTTCTCTTCTCACTTCATTTCATTCATTTCAACTTCCGTCGCTGATACCCTTTCTTCCAGTTGATCGCATCGGCTACTGAGGCTTGTGCATTCGTCACGTAGTTCTCGTGCCATGGCTTTCAGCTCCATCAGGTCCTTTAAGGACTTCTCTCCATTGGTTATTCTAGTTAGCCATTGGTCTAATTTTTTTTCAAGGTTTTTAACTTCTTTGCCATTGGTTCGAACTTCCTCCTTTAGCTCTGAGTAGTTTTATCTCTTGAAGCCTTCTTCTCTCAACTCGTCAAAGTCATTCTCCTTCCAGCTTTGTTCTGTTGCTGGTGAGGAGCTGCATTCCTTTGGAGGCGGAGAGGCACTCTGATTTTTAGAGTTTCTGGTTTTTCTGCTCTGTTTTTTCCCTATCTTTGTGGTTTTATCTACCTTTGGTCTTTGATGATGGTGACGTACAGATGGGTTTTTGGTGTGGATGTCCTTTCTGTTTGTTAGTTTTCCTTCCAACAGTCAGGACCCTCAGCTGCAGGTCTGTTGGAGTTTGCTGGAGGTCCACTCCAGACCCTGTTTTCTTGGGTATCAGCAGTGGTGGCTGCAGAACAGTGAATATTGTTGAACAGCAAATGCTGCTGCCTGATTGTTCCTCTGGAAGTTTTGTCTCAGTGGAGTACCTGGCCGTGTGTGAGGTGTCAGTCTGCCCCTACTGGTGGGTGCCTCCCAGTTAGGCTACTCGGGGGTCAGGGACCCACGTAAGGAAGCAGTCTGCCCGTTCTCAGATCTCAAGCTGTGTGCTGGGAGAACCACTACTCTCTTCAAAGCTGTCAGACAGGGACATTTAAGTCTGTGAAGGTTACTGCTGCCTTTTGTTTGTCTGTGCCCTGCCCCCAGAGGTGGAGCCTAGAGGCAGGCAGGCCTCCTTGAGCTGTGGTGGGCTCCATCCAGTTCGAGCTTCCAGTCTTATTTGTTTACCTATTCAAGCCTCGGCAATGGTGGGCGCCCCTCCCCCAGCCTCATTGCAGCCTTGCAGTTTGATCTCAGACTGCTGTGCTAGCAATGAGGGAGGCACCGTTGGTGTAGGACCCTCCGAGCCAGGTGAGGGATATAACCTCCTGGTGTGCCGTTTGTTAAGCCCGTTGGAAAAGTGCAGTATTAGGGTGGGAGTGACCTGATTTTCCAGGTGCTGTCTGTCACCCCTTTCTTTGACTAGGAAAGCAAATTCCCTGACCTCTTGTGCTTCCTGGGTGAGGCGATGCCTCGCCCTGCTTCAGCTCAGACACGGTGTGCTGCATCCACTGTCCTGCAGCCACTGTCTGGCACTCCCCAGTGTGATGAACCTGGTACCTCAGTTGGAAATGCGGAAATCACCCATCTTCTGCGTTGTTCACACTGGGATCTGTAGACTGGAACTGTTCCTATTAGGCCATCTTGGCTCCACCCCTGATATCCGAGTTCTTTATTTCTCCTTGTGTAAATTTTGGCAATTTATGTTCTTCTAGCTGTTTACTTATTGCATCTAAGGAATAAAATTTATGATTATAGAGTTGTTTATAGTATTCTTTCATTATTGTTTTAATATCCATGATATCAGTAGTGATGATCCCTCTTTCATTTCTGACAATGGTAATTTGTGTCTTTTCTTTTTTCTCTGCTTAGTTTGACTAGAAATTTATCAATCAATTGTTTCAAAGAACACAGTTTTGGTTGCATGGATTTTCTCTATTGTTTTCCATTTTCAGTTTCATTGATTTCAGCTCTAATTATCATTTTCATTTAGTTCAAAATATGCTTAAATTTCTTTTGGGAATTCTTGACTCATGAGTTATTTAGAAGTATATTGTTTAATTACCAAATACTTGGGGATTTTCCAGCTATATTTCTGTTATTGATTTTTAGTTTAATTTCATCATGCTCAGAGAATAATACTTTGTATAATTTCTATTCTTTTGAACTTATTAAAGTGTGTTTTATGACACAGAATGAGATCTGTTTTGGTGAACATTTCATGTGAACTTGAAAATAAGGTGTATTCTACTGTTGCTGGATGGGATATTCTATAAATGTCAATTAGATCAAGATTGTTAGTGCTGTTTGGATCACCTATATGCTGCTTATTTTCTGCCGGCTTTATCTGCCAATTACAGACTGGATATTTCAAATTCTCCAGTTATAATAGTGGATTTGTTTATTCATTCAATTCTATCACTTTTGTCTCATGTATTTTGAAGTTCTGTTGTAAGGCATATACACATTTAGGGTCGTTATGTCTTTCTGAATATTTGACCTCTTCATTAAGTAATGTCCTTCTTACTCACTTTTTTTTGTTGTTATTCTGAAGTTTGCTGTATCTGAAATTAAGGTAGCTACTCCAGTAATATTTTGATTAGTATTAGTCTATTAGTCTTTTTAAAATCTCTTTACTATTAGCCTTCTTTAGTTTCTATATTTAAAGTATGTTTCTTGTAGACAACATATAGTTGAAACTTGTTTTTTTCATGCTGAAAATACATATCTTTCAATTGGTGTGTTTAGACCATTTACATTTAGAATGATTGTTAATACAATTGGATTAATATCTACTGTTGAGTGAGTAGAATCTGTCACCTATTATTGGAAATAGAAGTCTGCACACTTCTACCTACTACATCTTGGTATCAGAGTTGCCAAGAAAAACACAATGCAGTCAAGCAGAATAGAATAATGCTTTGCTCACATAGAGAACAGACAGAGCAAAATCAGCTTTAGCTGTGGGCATTGATTTCTCATGGCCAGCAGGCTCTTTCTGGGAGCTGACATATTAAAAAAAACTACAAGCAAACCAAATTCACCAGTTAATTAAACAAATTGTTCACTGCAATCAAATGAGATTCATCCCAGGGATGCAAGGATGGTTCAATGTATACAAATCAATAAATGTGACACATCACATTAACATAATCAAGCAAAAAAATCATATGATCATTTCAATAGATGCAGAAAAAGCATTTGTTAAAATTCAACATGACTTGGTGATAAAAACTTTCAAAACTCTAGGTATAGAAGAAACGTACATCAACAGAATAAAAACCTTTATGACAAACCATAACTAACTTCATTTGAATGGAAAAAAGTTGAAAGTTTTTCTCTAAGATGTGGAACAATACAAGGATGCCCACCTTAACTACTTTTATTCAATATAGTACTGAAAGTCCTAGCCAGAGCAATTAAGCAAGATAAATAAATAAAGAACATCCACATTGGAAATGGGAAAATCAAACTGTCCTTATCTGCAGATAACATTATCTTATATGTAGAAAACCCTAAAGATTCCACTGAAAATGTTAGAACAAATAAAAGAATTCAGTAGAATTGCAGGATATAAAATGCTACAAAAGTCAGTAACATTTCTGCATGCCAGTAATAAACTATCTGAAAAACAAATCAAGAAAGTAATCTCATTTACTATAGCTACTAAAAACATACCTGAGAATAAATTTAACCAAGAAAATGAATAATTTTTACAATAAAAACTATAAGATATTGATAAAGAAATTGAAGATGATACTAATAACAAATATGAAAAGATATCTCATGCATGTATTGAATTAACCTTGTTAAAATATCCGTACTACCCAAATCAATCTGTAGATTCAATGCAATTTCTATCAAAATACCAATGACATTCTTCACAGAAATACAAAAGAAAAATCCTAAAATTTGAATGGAGCC
Organism: Homo sapiens; assembly: GCF_000001405.40. Classification (NCBI taxonomy): domain Eukaryota; kingdom Metazoa; phylum Chordata; class Mammalia; order Primates; family Hominidae; genus Homo; species Homo sapiens. The sequence continues at coordinate 97,905,564 of NC_000005.10, forward strand.
ACAAAGGACCCCTAATAATTTATAATTTTCTTTTGATTCTTTCTTAGAGTATCATTTTTTCTGCTTATGTTACCCATTTATTCTTACATGATGTCTACTGTTTTCTTTAGGGCACTTACTATGTTAATGACAGTTATTGAAAATTCCTTGTCTAGTAATTTTAATATCTGTGTCATATTCTTCTGGTTCTGATTATTGCTCTGTGTCTTTAAACTGTGTTTTTTCTTCCCTTTGGCATGTCTTATAATTTTTTTTATTGAGAGCAGGGCATACTGTATCAAGTAATAGAAACTGAGTTAAATAGCAGTTGTCAATCTGGCTGGTTGGATGAACTGTTAAAAGTGTGTTGTAGCTATAGGTGTCAGATACTTCAAATTACTTGTTGTTCTTGTTTTTCTCCTCCATCTTGACTTAGGTTTCCCTAAGTTCTATTCTCAAAGTAGAGCCTGTGCTAGAAGCTCTTTCGGCTTTAATCAGCTATTATAATAGTGGAAATTTGTTAGTGCTATGGTAAGGCAAGAAATAGGAGAATGTTTTTTAATATTCTCATTAAACCTCAGTCTTTATGTGAACCTCACGTCTTGGAGCTGTGAACTTCGTAAGTGTTTCTGCAGTAGTATCGTTTTATCTTCTCCTGTTTCTTACTTTCTTGGCTGGTTGCAACCTTCTTAATCTTTTTCCTTGAAGCCCTAATCTCTGTTGACTATAGTGGCTTTTTTTCCCTAGGTGGAGCAGGAAGTTCAGGGAGACTTAAACCTGATGACTTCCCTTTCCCAGCTGAGATAAGGCTCTGGCAAAGTATTTTTCTCTAAAGAGTAGGCCTTTGTTATGGAGAAGCTGTTGGTGCATTTTTTAACTACTTTATTATCCCCTCACCTAACCAAAGCTGTGAGAGGATTTTACATCTGTAAGAAATCAGTGAAGTTACTATAAGTAAAGCCCACAGAAGTATGGGGGACCTTTCCAACTACAACCCCAAGAGTTTCTCACTCTTATTCTTGTCCACACTTAGCCTGCAGAAATTTATCACAATTAATATTTCTGTTTTCCTACTGGTTTATGGCTTTAGAAGTGGCTTCTGTTCTAACTCTCTGGATGCTTCTGTCTCTCTAGGTGTTTGAAGAAGCTGCACTGAAACCTCAGTTCTTTGATAGGTTCAAGAAAACTCATTGATTTTCAGTTTATCCAGTTTTTTTCCTGCTGTAAGAACAGGAGTGACAACTTCCAAGTCATATGTTAGAGCCGAAACTGAAAGTCATATACTGTTTTCTTAATATGCTATATTTTTGTTACAGTTACTGTTCTAATGTCAAAAATCTGAAAAGATTAAATATTTTATGTTTTAGTTTTAATGTATGGATTATTTCCTATGTTAGAACTAACTTATAGCTTCTAAGAAAATATTGCTAGTATTTTGCAAGGTAAACTTAAAACTGAAGAGTATTGTTTATCACTGTCATTTTTATTTTCCATAATAAATAGGTAAAAATTGCTCTATAATATGAACTCTGGAAAGCAATATGCCAAGAAAAAAAGAATAATGTATTAGTACACTATTGTATCATTAAAACATAGTAATTTGCATATATATAAAAATTGGATAGTCTGAGATTGGAAGTATCTGTTTAAAACTTTAAAACCTCTGGTTGGATTACCATTTATTTGGCCTGCAAACTGGGGCTTCATGAACCTGTCAGCGTAAGAGATTATATGAAGCATGAAATATTCAAACTTTTATCTCATATAATCAAATATGAACAAGGAGCTCTGACATTATTATCATAATAGATTTTGCAAACACAAATTTAAAAAATTTAGTAAAAAGTTAAAAAATTGAGTTAGAGATATGGCTTAGTTAAATGTTTCAATTATTGATTAAGGTTTGTGTTAGGTTACAAAATAACGTTTAAAGTGGCACAAGAACCTTTTATAATGTAAATCAATAGTAGTAATCAGAACAACAGCAGCAAGAATAACAAAAGAAACCTCTTATTAGAGTAGGTAACTAGGCAGATATGAACAAGGCAGATGATGTCTCCTGACCCCCTAGAATATCCACCGACCATCAGGTAATGGTCAGGGAGTTGTTATACTGTCTTTTAAAAGTAGTAATTAGTGACAGCCAGCACCAAAGAAAGGCAGTCTCCCAATAGACAGAAAACACCTGAAGCTGGTGATCAGCAGCTGCCTGATAAGATCTCAGGAGTTGGGCAAGAGAGCTTAAGCATGTGCACTAAGAGGCAAAATGGAGGAGTTTAACCAGTATATTACCTTCCTCTAGGAATGCTCAACTGGTAAGAGACAAATGCCTCAAATGAGCATGAACACAACTTCAGTAAACTCACTGTGCATGTGGCCCCTCCCAAGTGCTGGCATGTCCCTGCATATGCAGACAGCCTGCCTCAAGACAAAAATCAAGGGAAGAAAAACAGAAACCCCAGAACCATGCCAATGTATAAAATCCCATGAGTTAAGGGCTGAACAGTGCAATAGGATCTCTCAAGTAGCCCGCTTGGCCTTTTTCCAAGTATACTTTACTTCCTTTCATTCCTGCTCTAAAACTTTTCGATAAATTTTTACTCCTGCTCTCAAACTTGCCTCAGCCTCTCACTCTGCCTTATGCCCCTCAGCCAAATTCTTTCCTCTGAGGAGGTGAGAATCAAGTTGCCGCAGGCCTATAGGGATTCTTCACTGCTAACACTCAGATAACTCCAGTTTTAAATTTTAGAAATCTAAAGATGCACAATGAAACTGATTCATTGAAGAAAACCAACTTTGACAAGCTTTGCTTGTCAATGTTCTTTTACAATATTAGGGTTTGTAGCATTCTTTCTATTCAATGCTTGCTTAAAGTTAAGGTAGAATGAAAAAAAAAAAACAGAAAAATGGTGCTTATCTTCAAATTCCTCGGAAATAAATGTAGACTTATTGTCCATACCATGGTGTCTAGCTGTGATAAATTATATACTATTAACAGAAAGCCATGCTGGTTGCTGGAATGATGTGAGATGAAAAAATGGCATTTGGGCCTTAGTTAAGAAGACTCTACCACAATCAAAACCTTCTCCTTTAATATCTATCTGATATCAGATAAATGCCTTTGAGCAACTCCCTTTCTTTTGAGATGAAGCCTCGCTCTGTCCCCCAGGTTGGAGTGCAGTGGCACAATCTCAGCTCAATGCAACCTCTGCCTCCTGGGTTCAAACGATTCTTCTGCCTCAGCCTCCTGAATAGCTGGAACTACAGGTGCATACAACCATGCCCGACTAATTTTCATTGTATTTTTAGTGGAGACTGGGTTTCACCATGTTGGCCAGGCTGATCTCAAACTCCTGACCTCAAGTGATCCACTCATCTCGGCCTCCCAAAGTGCTGGGAATACAGGCATGAGCCACCTCACCTGGCCGAGCAACTCTTCTTAGTGATTTCTTTTAAGAAAATATTTGTCAAAGTTTATAAATAATGTAATTTATTTATGGTCTTTTTAAATATTTGGAGAAGAACATTATATCAATTTTTGCAATGTATTAAACAGCTAAATATATGTCAGACACTCCAGTAGGCACCTTACATATGTTACGAATAATTATTACTATATTTTTAGTACTATTCTTTTCCAAACATGATACTCGCTTCTGTTACTGGAGAGGGGTCCTGATCCAGACCCCACGAGTGGGTTCTTGGATCTCACACAAGAAAGAAATTTGTGCAAGTCCACAGAGTAAAGTGAAAGCAAGTTTATTAAGGTAAAGGAATAAAATAATGGCTACTCCATAGACATAGTAGCCCTGAGTGCTGCTGGTTGGCTATTGTTTTGGTTATTTCTTGATTACATGCTAAACAAGAGGTAGATTATTCATAAGTTTTTCTGGAAAGGGGTGAGAAATGGAACTGAGTGTTCCTCCCCATTTTAGACCATATAGGGTAACTTCTGGATGTTGCCATGGCATTTGTAAACTTTCATGGTGCTCGTGGGAGTATCTTTTAGCAGACTAAAGCATTATAACTAGCATGTAATGAGCAGTGAGAATGACCAGAGGTCACTTTTATTGCCATCTTGTTTTTTTTGGTTTTGCAGGTTTTGGGTTGGCATCTTTACGGCATCCTGTTTTATCAGCAGAGTTTTTGGGACTTGTGTCTTGTGCAGGCCTCTTAACTCATCCTATGACTAAGAATGCCTAACCTGGTGGGAATGCAGCCCAGCAAGTCTCAGCCTCATTTTATGCACCCCTATTAAAAATGGAGTCACACACTCTGGTTCCAATGCCTCTGACACTTCTACATAATTATTTAATTTATTAATGGCACTACACATTTTCTCAAAATACCCTTTATTTTTTTCTTTTTAAAATCATACTTTAAGAGAAGGAGGCTAGATCCTTCATGGCATTGTGAACCCACTCTATTTAGACCAGTACTGCCTACTTCTATATATCTCATTCCTATTGAAATAAATGATTTTTGAAAGCCTTATTTGATAGTCACTACTTAAAAAAACAACAACAAAAATAAAAAATGCATTCAATAATGATTAACTGATACAACCAGGAATGTACCTTTGCAGTATATTAACTTTGAGGATTTTTCTTTCTCTTTATCCTTGATGGTTGCAGCTTCCCACTACATGTCATTTTATTTATATCATTTGATTCTGAATCATGTTTCAATGTGAGTCCTCACTCTAGCTTTTCTATAATGGTTCTTAAGTACGTATTCTCAAAGACTGTTTTTGTGCCATTTTGTCCGTTTTATTCTGTTGGAACTTTTTTTGGTCTGATTTTAAAATCCTCCCATTTTATTTTTCTTGTCTCTTAAATGCTCTTGAAATTTTAATTTCTCTGGAATTCCTACAAAATTCTTTCATACTCTCTTGCAATTTATTTTACTTCTTTGTGTTATATAGTCTACAGCCTAGAATTTATTCTGCTTATTGATTTTGTGATTTAGTTTTATTTCCAAAAGATTTTAAAAATGATTTTTCATATCCACCAGTTCTGATCATATTTCTTCCTGCTTTTGTTTCAGAACCAGTTTTATGAAGGCTATTTATTTGTGTTTTTGGTGAGATATTTATTAGCATTCATTATCTTTCTATATTATTTATTTAGTATCTGGGCTCATTTTCAGCGAGATTTTAAAAATGCTTTATTATAAATAATTTAAAATATGCAAACATAGATAAAAATAGTATAATTAATCCCTATACACAATTCACCTACATTCAACCATCACAATTTTTCCACATTTTTAAAGTTTATTTTTTCTTCTCTATTGTGATTTTTTTAGTTTCTCCATTTGGGCTAGAGTATTTTAAAACACATACTAGATATCATGACATATCCATACATAATTCAGTATGTATCTCCAAAAGATAAAAACATTTTCTACCATAACCACTATGACATTATTAACATCTTGTAAAATTAAAGACATTATTTGTTGATATTATCTAATATTAGATAGCATTAAAAATTTTCTCATTTTTTTCAGTTTATCTTTTTAAATTGGTTTGTTTCAATCTGGATCCTAAGCAGGTTTGAGTAAAAGTTTGTGCCATTGCTCCTTCTGTGCTCTCTCTCTCTCACTCTTTCTCCGGTTGTCTTTCACAATAACTCTTGTTAATACCTAAACCAAGGTAAAGGTGAGGCTGCAGAGCAGCAGTGTCCAATCTTTTGGCTTCCTTGGGCCACATTGGAAGAAGAATTGTCTTGGGCCACATATAAAATACACTAACATTAATGATAGCTGATGAGCTAAAAAAAAAAGTCACACACAAAAAATCCATAATATTATAAGAAAGTTTACAAATGTGTGATGGTCTACATTTAAAGCCATCCTGGGTCATGTGCGGGCCAAGGGACGTGGGATAGACAAGCTTGTTGTAGAATGAAGATCCACAAATTTCTGCTGTAGAGATTTCTAAGAGTTCCCTGATTATTTAGTCCCTTAAACTTGATTTTATATTATTCTTGGTATTATGAGATAGCCTATTACATTGCAATCAATGACAGTGTTTTTCTCCCCTTCATATAGCTCAAGCTGGTTTACAGTGGGCTATTCTCATCTCTTTATTTATATTTTAAGTGCCTGCCTTTAAACAATTTCTATTGGGGTTTAGGTTAAATTCCCTCACACAACACCCCCCCCTTTTATTTTTCTAATTTAGGAAGGACTAACATCTGTGACTTTTATGCAAGACCAAGTATTTTTCTTACTTTCTATCTTTATTGGTCAAATTCTACTTCTTTACTCGACATTGTTGTCGGTTTGCACATACAATGTCATAATGTAATTTGTATTACATTATAACACACAATTAAAATAAAACAGTACTGAAGGCTCATATTTAAATGCAAAACTTCATGGTTCTACCTTAATTTAGCCCCAGTTACTCCCCAAAGATTAAACCAATTTCAACTGTCTAGATTTTTATGGTGTTTAATCTCCATATTCTGAAGTAATATGCTTATATTGCTATTTTGGACTTATCAATTTTAGAGAGCATATTTGCCTGCTCTAAAGTACACTCATAGGGGAAACAGAATTCCACTGACTAACATAATGACTTGTTTCTCAAATAATTTCTAGACTAAACAATCATGACAATTATGTACACCAAAGTTTTTTCTTCTGTACCATTTTCTTATATAATAGGAGAACAAACAAAAAAAATCAATGACAGGGAGAACTTTCCACATGTCTGGAAGTAGAGACGTGACTTACAGTGCTTTTGCTGAAAATGGTAAGAGAGTGACATTAATCCATCTTCACTTTCCTGACAGGTCATTTTTATAACACTATGGGCATGCATATGTAAGTCAGTTGACTGATAACAAAAAGTTTATAATTGTGAACCAAATGAAACTGACTGGCTTAACGGTGGAGAACATACCTGTGACCTTGTTTATATTAGCCCTGATATGTAATAAATTAGGTTATATAGTCATAGATGGAGGAAGCATTCCCTTTAAAGAAGATAATACTAGGCTTCTGAACTATTCTGATGAAAGATTGGCCCGCACAGGGACTTGTCTAATGTATAAAGAGCTATATTTGATGTGGACTAATTTTATGTAAAACTGGAAATACTTACTCACAAAATCAACAGATATTAGAGTTGAGGTTAGAGTCCAGCATTGATGCAATCTAATCTTATTTTATAGTTGAGGATAATTGAACTGAGAGAAGTTAAAAGGCAGATATATTCAACTGTTCTCTAATTTTAGACCTAATTGTCCATTGGGCATACTTCTGACATGACACTTCACTGAATTCATTATTTACATGTCAGGCTTCCTGCTGGACTGTAATCTAATGAAAGCAAGGGGCAACATCTAGAATCCTAAACATTTGGACAGTGCCTATCTACTACTTCTGTCTCAGGAATACCAAGCCCATAGTCTTACGTTATGAGTACATTGTTCTTAATACTCCATAATATCCTAACCCTAATTTAAAAATAAATTTCTAAGAAAAAGTCAACAATGAACTCTTAGATGCCACAGGTTTCTCTGAGACAAATTAGGCTATCTAATGACATTTTTTAAAGAACAATTTTGTTTTGTACTGTGTAAGAGGGAGCCATTAGTGTAGAAATTGCATCAAATAATTCTAGATAAATATATTTAAATATTTGTTATTACTTTTAAGCTTTCCTTGCATTAATTAAATTTTGATAGCTATATGGATGGCCTGGTTTAACAATGTAAAATGTATTTTGTTAAAAATTTGTTTTCCAAAGTTTAACTCTCCAAAGATGTATTTATATTGTATGAATGCAATCAGGCTTACATCCAAATTTTCTTTAATCAGGATATTGGTATTCTAAATCTCTATGGCCTTTTTTTTTTCAGGCTTTTTAAAGGGTCAAAAGGACTGTCTCAAAGAATTAAATAAAATAATGCTATTAGGAAACATATAAAAGTAAGAGAGAGGTGATCCTGGTGTTTGTCCTGCCACACCACTGACAGTTGTAAAACATTACCTACTTTGGAGCTCAGTTTCTTCCTTCTGAAGCTGAGTCCTTTAATAGGTGATCTTCAGGTTACCTTCAAACATTTAAGTTCTATGATTTAATGCTAAAATAATTTATGCATACCAATCTATTAGAGAAGAGAGTAAATGAAGTTCCAAACAGAATGATCACTATAATACCTATTTTGATAAATTAAGAGACAGCTGATATGCCTAAACATTCAATCATAAAAATGTTAAGAGAGTAATCTTTAATACAGCAATTTTGCCTCCTGCTACTTAGTCTCACATTTTATATATTTTAATGAAAGATAATCACTCAGAATTATAATTTCAGAACATTTAAGTTGATATTTTAGTGAGAATAAACACATTTTTTTTTGGCTTAGAAAATAGAAATTAAGCCTGGGCAACAAAGTGAGACCCTGTCTCTACAAAAATTTAAAAAATTAGCTGAGTGTGATAGTGTGCACCTATAGTGCCAGCTATTCCAGAGGCTGAGGCAGGAGGGTCACTTGAGCCCAGGAATTCAAGGCTGCAGTGAGCTATGATTGTGCCACTCCAGCATGGGTGACAGAGTATAGATGTATGTCCAAAATAGCAATATAAGCATATTAGTTCTGAATACGGAGATTAAACACAATAAAAGTCTACACCCATGCTCTGAGAAACCCTTCTCAAAAAGAAAGAAGAGAAAGAAATAAAGAAAAAGAGAAGGAAGGAAGGAAGGAAGATACTAATCTTTATTTAAAAAATATCTGTGGATGTGGTGTTTTTAGTTGAGGAAATCTATTTAGTGAAGTCTGTAGGCTTTAGTTTCTGTACTTAAGACAATGCAATCAACTGCATTTTAGGTTGTGTTCATTAGTGTTCTTTAACTTCCTTTATTGTTATAAAAACTACCAAAAGCTGAGAATCTTTTGAGAAAACAATCAATAAAGAGACTTTGTCTGTGTCCAGTATTCCCACCCCACATACTCCTTTGCTTTGCCTTCAGTGAATGCAGGAACTGAGACCATCATTACTGAAAATGTGGCCGTCACTACTGACACTCAGCATATCTACACATTCTTTACCTTCCCCATACCAGCATTACCTCTGTTAGAGTCTGGGGAATCTAACATAAACATCAGTGCAGGACTTACAGTTAATTGCTTTCAAGAAAACAAAATACACCATTGTGTCATTTTATGGTGTGCATTCAAGGGGTGGGGTATGAATGGCAAAATCATTGACAACTGTTTCACTGGCTAGAGCATCTGGATTTCTCTTCAAATTTGCAGAAAGTTTATATTTTTTTTCTCATCCAATCCATCTCATCTTCAGCAAGCTTATCAAATTGCCAAGAAATTTTTGGAATAGGTGTTTTGTTTTAAAAAAATTAGTTTACTGTTGCTATTGATCCAAGATGACTCCACTTTATGCTTCTTGAATATAAAAGAGATATAAGTTCTACAGGATCCCTTAATTCTATCATGTGGAGAATATGAATTAAATACCTACTATGTTTAATAATTTAAAAAGACTTTGGGACAATGTCAACATATTTAAAGGGGAAAAGGTTTTGAGGTTTTGGGGTATGGACTTTATTTTGAACTAATTGCTTTTCTACTAACATATCATTTCATTTAATGCTTTAGAAAATCTTGTGAGAAAGGCTTAATGTCCCTCCATTCACACATGAGGCTGAGAGGCTAAGAGAAATAATAATCCAGTCATGGTCACACCCCTTCCAGAAAAGGAAGGAACCGGGATACAAACCTGGATATGGCTCCAAAGTTCATGTTTGCATTAATTCTGTGCTGCTCTCTTCAAGGAGCTTATGAGCTAGTGGAAGAAGTGAACATGCAAATATCCCAACTGCAATATTGACCAAATGCCCATCTGAAGAGTACAAACTAAAAGTCTGTTTTATAAAACACAATAATTCCTGAAAGTTAAATCAAAGTTCAGTTTAAACCACCAATGTTTTGTATACATTTCATAAATGCTGAGGTTGATATAAGATCTTATCTGTCATCAAATAATGTCTGATTTCAATTTTTGTTATCAAAATAGCCTCATTCTTCTTAATTGGTTTTCTAATTAGGAATTGGTTTAAATTTAGACATACCAATAAAATTATATGAACATATAACTACAATTTTTCATATTTGTATGGTAATTATTTTTAAAATACTACTCCAATGTAAGAAATTTTTACTTTGCATATATCTTCTGCATATATTTATACATTTAAGATGATTTTTTAACCAGTATTCATTTTTTAACATGAATATTCCATTTAGTCATAATCAGTCTACATGTAAATTTATATACTGCTTTTTTGCATATAACATTACATAATATTCTTAGTTTATAAAAATTTAAACTCAAAAGACTGGATTATGTTTCTAAAAGAGAATAATAAATGTGGTACTGTCATATAACACATTTTTAGAATTTTTAAGTTCTTTAGGTAGATTTCTTTTTGCCCTCAAATATATTTTAATATTGAAAATTAATAAAAGCAGACTACAATCTCACCTACCAGATAATCTCTGGTGATTTTAAATTGAAGCATGAACTTTTACTGATTAGAGAATTCAAAAACTTAGGAAAGGTATAAAATTATGAAAAGAAAATCTTCGTCACCTCCTTAGTACTTGTCTGCAAAGCTAACCAGGATTAATTTGCTGTTTATTCTTCCAAATAAAAATAGACACATACCACTATGTGTAATATGTGTCCTTCTATTTACACCAAAGAGACCATGCACATATCCTATCTTACACATCTATTCTTTTACTTAATGACACTTTGGGGACTCTTTCCATATCCTTAGATGGTTCTATCACATTTTTTGAAAGCTTCAGTCTGCATAGTTTTCCATTATATTAAAGTCTCAACTTACTTAAACAAAACATTCCTTCTCATTTATATGCTATGATACTAGATCTATATTGTGCAATGAGAAAGCTGCAATCTGTATCTTTTCTATCTCATTTTTGTTTTTCTATCAAATCTATGTGGTAAGTTTTCAGAAGTTTAGTTCTTAGGTAAAGGAGTGTTGTCATTTAAAATGTTGATGAACATTGCTAATTTTTTTTGTATATATGTTGTATAAAATTTGTCTCCCAAAGTGGACAGCAATAGCTAACTTTCCAGAGTGGTCACTGCTAAACACAACTTATTATATTTGACATTTGACATGTATTAACTCATTTAATCCTCACTCTGCTTTAGACATTATATCGCTACACATATTTATTTTATTTTTTATTTTTATTTTTTTATTTTTTATTTATTTTTTTCAGATGGAGTCTCGCTGTGTCACCTAGGCTGGAGTGCAGTGGCGCGATCTTGGCTCACTACAAGCTCCGCCTCCCGGGTTCACGCCATTCACCTGCCTCAGCCTCCCGAGTAGCTGGGACCACAGGCGCCCACCACCACGCCTGGCTAATTTTTTGTATTTTTAGTAGAGACGGGGTTTCACCATGTTAGCCAGGATGGTCTCGATCTCCTGACCTCGTGATCTGCCTACCTCGGCCTCCCAAAGTGCTGGGATTACAGCATGAGCCACCGCACCCGGCCTTTATTTTTATTTTTTAAATTTTTATTTATCTATTTTTTGTGAGACAGAGTCTCATTCTGTTGCCCAGACTGGAGTGCAGTGGCAGGATCTCAGCTCACTGCAACCTCTGCCCACCGGGTTCAAGAGATTCTGCTGCCTCAGCCTCCCAAGTAGTTCAGATTACAGACATGTGTCACCATACCAGGCTAATTTCTTTGTATTTTTAGTAGAGATGGGGTTTCACCATGTTCCTGCCCAGGCTGGTCTTGAACTCCTGACCTCAGGTGATCCTCCCATCTCGGCATCCCAAAGTGCTGGGATTACAGACTGAGCCACCATGCCCAGCCCCATATTTTAAAGAGAAGGATCTGAAACACAGTAGAGTGCCTAAATCACTTAGCCAAAATCATGTGGCTGATAAATAATGAAGCTACACTATGAACATAAGCAGTTCAGCTGTATGGTGTTAACCACCCCAACATATTGCTTAGTGTTGTTGCAGGAAAGAGTAGATACTTTCAACTTTTGGATTTTGACTAATACAACAAATGAAAACAATAAGTCAATTTGAGTTAGATCTTTTGTAATAGGTGAAGTAATATTTATGTTTTGTTCATTACACAAATTGCTTTTTCTGTGAACTACTTTTTCATACTTTTGCATAGTTTTATATTGAATTATTCAAGTTTCTCAGTAATTTTTACAAAATCAATAGAAAAAATGAAGTGAAACTTTGTGATATGTGATACACTTTCCAGAGAGAACTTTTATATCTTTATACATTTCAATTTATTGATTTTTAGCTTCTGGATTTGATCTTCTTTTTGACATTTTTATTTTATTCAAATTATTTCAGTATATCATTTGCAACATCTAAGAATTTTTTTAATTTAAAAATGATTGTTATTGTGTATTATCAGAATCCAGATGATAAAGTCTTTCATCATAAAAAGGTTGTTTTTAAAATAGTCCTTCAAAACTGATAAGATGTTTATAAACTGACAGTATTTGAGAAGAAGAAGATAGGTAGTTGGGAAAGGTAATATATACATGGGAAAATGGCACAGGTATCTGCCCCAGGCTAACTGGATGAATAGGAAGAAACTGGTAACTGAATGAGTACAGCTACTCCGTGTGCAGTGTCACTGAACATACAGACCTGAGGCCTTTCTCTTCCCACTTTACTTGATCTCATTTGTCTAAAAGCACAGTAACCTTTGTTACTGGCAACTCAAAGGTTACAGTAACCTTTGAGACTGGAAAATGTACAGTAATTTATGCAGAAATTAGTCCATGGGGGTAAGAAAATCCTACATTCTTTGCTTGTGACCTGAAAGACATCTAGATCTGTTGATGAAAAACCAGCAGTTTTAACTCATCACCTTCTTCCTAAATAAATATCAAAAAATAGAGGATATAATTCAACATAAAATGAAAATTCTTCTGTGAAAATGGCAATAGCCTGATAAGGAGAATTTACTTTTATATCTATATTGGTTTATAGGTAAAGAGGCAACATTAGTAAAAACATTTGGAATTTTTTCCCACTCTGAATGTGATTTCAATATCCATGATTGGTTCCTAGCAAGCTGCCTTCCATCTCATATCTGAAAAAAAAAAAATTTGGAGCCGCTATTTGTTTAATTAATTTGTATGAGCCCAGCTGTTAGAACATCGAGTATGAATTTAGATAAGGGAATAAAATTGGCCTCATCTGTCCAGTCCTATTGTGTTGTGTTACCAATTATATTTAATGGAAAAAATCCAATGGAGAAAATGTTTGGCAGTAATAAAGCAGCTGACAACAGGAAAAAAAGCATAGTTAGAGTTTAAGAACATCTTGGTTTTCTAGCCCTTATTCATTAATTCTATCTTGTTTCTTTTTTGTTGTTGTTCTCTTTCTCTGTCTCTTGATTGTTATTAATTTTCCTTTCTTTCCACCCCTTATACCAAATATCAATCAAAAACTTTGCTTTTATGTTTAAGTGATGAAGGCAATGACTAATTATTGTAAGAATTACACTTTTTCCATTTTCAACTTTGTCTGGGAATAGACCCAGGTTTGAGTTAGTCCTAAACTTTACTGGACAGCTCCTGATACAAAACATTCATGCCCAACTCTCTAAAAGGGAAAAATGGTACTTAATAAAAGTTTAAGCACATAACATCATCAGAAATAGAGGAGATTCTGTTATATCCATGAACAAATGTATTTATTGGGGAAAAAGGCAGATGTACATAAATCTAAGCTACTCTCCAATCCTGTGTGAATTGAGGGGCCTTACTGAGGTGTTGACACTGGTCCTGAGGAGTTCCTAATCTGAGTGCAGAGCCAGTGGCAAATGTGTTTTTAGTCAAATATAATTACTAAAGAATACAAACATAACGTTTGCCATCCAAGACCTCTGCAACTTGAAACCCCAGATTAACTTGCACTGAAGGCCTTTTGAGTGAAGATCAGTCTGGAAAGATTTTTCAGGAAAGATGGTTTAGCTAACCAGATAGAGGAATCTGACTCCAGATCTAGTGGGCAGCCCCTCTTATTCACAGGCATTAGCCACAGCAATTACATGTTTTCCTCATTGATATGACAGAGGTGAGCCAAGACATAGAGGAGGGTATTATCCCTATCTTCACTATAATATCAGTGTTGTGTTTAATATTCGGAGACAAAGGATTAGCTTCGTTTTCAGGGAGAGATTTATAGAATAATGAGCTAAATCTGTGTTTAATAAGGTTTTTGTTCTTTTGTGTTCACTGTAATGTGGAAGTAATTTCAGTCTTTCTACACAGAGGTCCCGACTGACTCCCATCACAGTATCGTCAGAGCTCCAGCTACACAGTGGAATACATCATCTCTGGTTGCACATGGCTGGCAGCCTCTGAAGATTGGGTTTAAACTGATGGGGCAGGTCTTTCTCTTTCAGTAATGCCTGATACAAGTGGCCTTTATTATATTAATAGCTTACCAATCTCCATTACATTGAACTCTTTCCAGAAATTCTCCAAGTTTTGTACCCTACTTCATGACACTAATACATTATGCACAGAAAAAATGTCCATATTATAACAATTAGTATGTTTATATATGCACATGCAAAAGTTAAACTAGGAACAAGTACATATTGAAATATATGTATGTGTGTGTATATACAGACACATGTATATGTGTCTGTATATACACGCGTGTATGTGTGTGTGTATATGTATGCACACACATAGTGGCAATAAGGTGCTGGACAAAGATGAAGATCTTGGTGCATCCTAATGTTGAATTTTGTAGAATTTTTAAATATGGGAATTACTAAAAGGATCATCTTTAATAATTTAGAAGTTTCATAAAATTGTATTGCAGATTCTGCACTCTGCCTTGCATGTCAGGTGATCCGAGATCTTGCCCAAGTCAAATATAGGTCCTATGACATTGGGCAAGTCACTTAAACTCTCTAAGCCTTCCTTTCTGCTGGGTAAAGTCAAGTCAAGCTAGCTAATCTCCAAACTGCCTACCAGGTCCAAAGGGCTGTGGTCACAACCAAAGGGATCCATTAATGAAATTCCCTTACAGAGAGGTTCCCAAGTTAGTGACAGAACTGTAACGCTATTGAACGTTCTATTTAACACTGCAGAACCCAAGAGTGAAACTGAATCAAATAAAAATTCACACTTACTTGAGAGCTCCTAATCTGTCAACATTTATCTGGTTTCACAGATGCTTTCTTTTTCTCTGATACAAAACTATTTATATTCAAGACACATGGCATAAAAACTGTTTCTAAATACATCTTTATAAAGCCTCAATAGCTTATTTGTTTCACTTACCTTTTTCTGCATAAAAAAGTACTCCAAATCTCTGCTCCCAAGTCTGAGGGTCAGAAATGTGGAGAGTAGCTCCCCTCTGCCTCATAGAGTCAGGTGGGGTCAGTTGGGGTGACTCATACACCTGTGGATTGGCTAAAATGGTTTGCTTGGGGCCTGTTATGGACTGAATGTTTGTGTCTCTTCAAAATTTGTATGTTGAAATCATATTCCCATTGTGATGGAATTTGGAGGCAGGGCCCTTGGGAGTATGAACTGAGAAGTGGGCCCTCACTAGACACTGAAACTGTCAGCAGTTTGATCTTGGACTTTTCAGTCTCCAGAATTGTGAGAAATTAATGTTTGTTTTATAATCTACCCAGTGTAAGGTCTTTCATTATAGTAGCCTGAACTGACAAAGGCAGGGTCATATGTGTGACCTCAGTTTGTGCTGTTGGCTACAGTCTGTCACTCCCCTGTCCTTGGATAATGGCTGTGATGGTGGGAAGAGCCACAAAGATTTCTCTCACATATGTGGCAACTCAGGCTTGTCCACGTGCCCTTCTCACCCTGTGAAGATAGGGTGGGCTTCCCACTGCATGGCAGTCTCAGAGGAGTTGGATTTCTTACATGGTGACTGCCATTCAAGAAGGAGGAAATGGAAGCCTCCAGTCCTCTGAAAGACTAGGCTGGAACGGGCATAATGTCACTTCCATCATATTTTATTGGCTCAGCCAGATTTGGCAAGTACACAAATGATCTCCATCTCTGGGTGGTAGGAATGGTCAGGAATTTGTAACCATCTTTAACCTGCCACAGTAACCACTCCTGGTTTGGTTACTTCCCTAGAGGCAGAAGAATTGTTTGGGTTTTGTCATCTATGTGGATACCTTCTCCATTTTAGTTACTGGCAAGTTTAAATGACCAGATTTTTTTCCAAAGGGATATTAAACCAGGATGAGGGTACAACTAATATTCAGAAATTCAACACAGGCCTCACTTGTAAAATGCCTTCAACAGTTCAATATAGGCACCAGAGGGTACAGTGCTTTTTGCATTAGAAGCACATACTTTGACTCTCAGTTGGAGACAATCTCACTTGAAAAAACTGTACAGCCTCACTGACGATGGATAAAGAATTAATTCTGTAAAAAAAAAAAAACAGTATATGAGTTTGCTAGAGCTGCCATAAAGAAGGTATCACAGACTCGGTGACTTAACTAACAGAAATTTATTTTCTCACAGCTCTGGAGGCTAACCATCCAAGACCAAGATGTCAGCAGGATTGGTTCCTGAGGGCCTTGAGGAAGAATCTGTTCCAGGACTTTCCCTTTGGCTTGCCATTGGCCATATTCTCTCTGTGTCTTCTCACGTCTTCCCTCTGTATTTGTTTCCAAATTTCCTCTTCTTATAAGGACAGTAGTCATATTGGAAAAAGGAACACCCTAATAACCTAATTTTAACTTGATTACCTCTTTAAAGACCTTATCTCCAAATACCATCACATTCTGAACTATTAAAGATTAATGCGTCAATATATGAATTTTGTGAGGGGCAGGGAGACAGAATACAACCAACCCACAACACCCAGATACATAGCGAAATCTTCTTCTTCTAGGCCCCCTGTGCCTGTGTCCACCACTTCATCCCCCAATTAGCTATATTTGAAAAAGTAAGAGGGAAAGAACAGTTGGAGGGGGAAGAGAGAGAGAAAGAAGACAGACAACTTAGATTATGTGCCCTAGATGTTGGCCTTACAAAACGGGAGCAAATCTTAACCAATCATTGTAGCAAAACCTTTTGTTTATGAAGGAAGTTCCTTTTGTTTCTTTTCAGTCCACTCTACCTGCTAATTAAAATCAATAATATGAGATGCCGTGCTATCTTTCCTACCTGAGCCACTTATACTGTATTGTCAGGTTTGGTTTATTTCATTTTCTGAGCTTATTTGCCAGTTAATCATTTGTTTTTATATTACAAAGTGGCTCATCTCTGCCTCATTACACACTGAAAGTAATGCCTGACAAGCGATTGTCCAACGCTCACCAAACCGTGCTTGTGCAGGTTGGCAAAGGATGCTCTCAGCATAGACAGGCTGACTTACATACAGCCAGCCTACCTTTCCTGTCTCACTATCAGATCTGTTCATAGGTCCCGACACAGGGGAAAAAAATCAGAATGATATATAGAATTAAAGGATAATGGAACTGGAATAATGTTGAGCATCTTAATTAGAGACTTTGGGCAGGATATAATCATACATGTGAGTTGAATACGTAATTAGAAGATTAGAATCTTTGAAAAAGAAGGAAGCGTTAGTATTCTTTAGTTAGCAAAATGCACTGTTTTATAGAATGTAAAACAAACAGCACCAAAGAAGACAAAGTTTTATAAAATGACTTTCCCAAGGTTTACTCATTTCTTCATATAAGAGAATGTGCTTCCAATGTACTGTGAAGATCTACAGCATTATTTACTGATGTAAAAGAAAACATTTTTCATTAATTATTTTGCCCATCTTCTGAGTCCTCCTGTATTTCATATTGTACCAAGGTCTATCAATAAATTGATAAGCTCAGTGCAAACAGAATAAATGTGCTTTTAAGACATTGTATGTGCTGCATCATGAAGCTATTGCTCTAACATCAATGGGACATTCAATTTGATTTTTTTTCTTTAGTGAAAATGGATATTCACTACTGACATTCACATTTTATGCCTTAAGTCATTGATGATAAACAATACATAGCTGCTAAAAAGTTGCCTGAGATGAAGGGTAGAGTATGAAACTAGCTGGTTAAAGTGAAAATTGAGCCCATGACTCATAACCTCAGCTTTGTAGAACTGCCTTAAAATTGGACTTTGGTCTAAGGTGCTTGAATATAGTTCTGGTTTTAATTTTCTAAGTGGCATTACTCTCTAATCCAAGAAATAATTTACAATCAATACAACTTTTAGAATCCAAAAAATCTTAAGTATAAGGCAATTACAGGTGAATTAGAAAACAAAATTTACTGGTAGAAAATAGTTACTGTAAATTTTAATTTTATTATTTGATAAACAACATGGCTAATAAGCCCAAGTGTTAAAAAGCCAGTGAGAGATAAATATATTTTTGACAAGCAGCTTTTCAATACGAGACTAAGAACTGAAACTCACTATGAGAATGGGTGGGATTGATAAACCTTGTAAATAATTTCAGAGCAGGCTAGGGACAGCTTGACACCCTGAAAACCTTGCAAAATTAATCTTTCATGACAATATTTGAAGACTGCCATCACTGTCATCCCTTCAACAAATATTCACTGAGCTGTGACAAGCACAGTGCTTGGGGCTGTGAATAGCACAGTGGTATATAACAGAGACTATGACATCAGGAAGTTCATGGTTGGTGTCACTTATTTAACAAGCATTTATTGAGCACTACCTATGTGATAGGCACCTTGCTAAATATACCCTGGGGATTAAATAGAACATATGACATAGTCCTTGTGCTCAAGATTTACCTAACCACTCCACGTACTGATTTATGGAAATTCTGAAACTAGGTTTGTTATTTACCCAAAAAAGACACTAGCTAACTAATTGATAGAGAAATTTTCTGCAATATTATCTCTCAGCCTTCAGGCAACTGCATCTTTTTTGCTACCTCACCTCTATATTCTTAACTGCTCTGCTCTGGTTTTTGTAAGCAGTGTTCCTTGTGCGGCCTGTATTTTGGAACCTCTGCTCATGTAATGGTGTTTGCCACACAGTTGAACTGTTGAACTAATTCTTCTATATTTTGACCACACAGTTTTCTTAGATACATTTTGTACCTGGTTCTCAATTTCCCCTTGCTTTGACCCTTCATGTGTATATCCTGTAACTGCTGTTACAGATATCTGGTATCTGAAAAAGTCCTTTTTCAGAAAGCCTAGTTCTGGTATTTTACTTTGTTGCATTTCTATATGAGAAATATTTATTGTCTAATCTACTTGAAAACTGATGAAAATGTCTATTTAACATTTATTTTTAATTCTGATGCGCTAAAATCCAAATGTTATTCAGTTTTTAACATAATGAAAGAAGAGAAACTTGCATATTAAAACAGAGACATTCATCTAATTAGTCTTACTAATAAAATTCCTAGGTAGTTTGAAAAATAAAGATTTGAGAAGATACTTTGCTTTGACACTGTTGAATTCAAAGTCACCCAGAAAGAAAATTTGACATAATAAAATATTTTGTCTTTTCAAATTGCCCACTGAGAAACAAAAATAAAATTCTAAGCCCCCAGATGACTGAACCAACCCTCTCTTCGTCAAGAGGAACCTCATGGAAACCTTGGAAGCTGAGTTCATGACCATGATGGGATGGGGGATCAGACATGCGTTATATCCCCACTCCCTTGCTAAGTGTCATTAGGCTTTCTTCCCTCAGGGCTAGACAGAAACCAGCTCTTTCAAAAGTCATGCCAGGTACAGAACAAAGACAAAACGAGATTCATCCTTCCTTCATCCCTCCCTGAGATGTCCACTTCCTCTATTTCCTTTTCTTCAAATGTTCACTTTATCTTACGTAAAAAGTAGATTTACCAAACACCAACTCAAGTCTCGCCAGTATGTTTTTATTCCTTTCACTGCTGCCCTCCTCCCCACTTTTTAGATAAAATATATAAATACTAAACCTCTGGAGAACCTCTTTGGACAAAACAGCCACATGTGCCTGTGACTTGAGTTTTTCCCGGGTGCACCCTCAGGCTGGCTCAATAAACCTTGATGATTTAAGATTTATTATGCTCAGTTACTCATTTTGGTTGTCACCACCATATTTTAGGCTGTTGTTTGTTACTGGAATACTCCTTCATTCCCAGAAATCCTGAAAATTCTTCCAAACATATAAGTTTAATGAGCATTTTAATACTAATTATCTACATAGGGTATTATGAGTATATGTTTTTCCATATCACCCTTTGGCTTACCTTATTACAGCAGCAACAGTGTTTTGCTTATTTTAGTTGCAGTTAGAAGGGTTTCTTCTAATCAGATTACATTTTCATTTGACAAATTTATGAAAAGAAGCCTTAAAAATACTTGCCAGGAGAATCTGATAATTTATGTCAAAATTACATCAGCTGATTTTTAAAAATTTTTATTTCCATGCTTTTGGGAATATAGTTGGTTTTTGGTTACATGGATAAGTTCTTTAGTGGTGATTTCTGAGATTTTAGTGCACCCATCACCTGAACAGTGTACACCATACCCAATATGTAGTTTTTTTATCCCTCATACCCCCAACATTCCCCCTGAGTCCCCAAAGTCCTTTACATTAATTATTCTTATGCCTTTGCATTCTCATAGTTGAGTTCCCACTTATAAGTGAGAACATTTATTTGGTTTTCCATTCCTGAGTTACTTTGAGTAGCTACCCAGTAGTAGGATTGCTGGATTAAATGGTAGTTCTACTTTCAGTTTTTAAAGGAATCTCGATACTGTTTTTCACAGCGGTTATACTAATGTGCCCTGCTCTTCTGTATTTACAGTAAGAGTTGTTAAAGCAAACTAAATACGGCCTGAGAAGGACTCCATACTTCTATATTTGAGTCCTTGTGGATGAACTGCAATCTAACATAATAAGTAGATAATATTGAAAATTTAATTTAGGAGTATGTGCCTGTAACAGTGGCTGAGTCTTGGCCAATCTCAACAGCCATACTTCAACCAGTCATGCACTGCTGAATGCTCAAACTGTGTTCAAATAAGGCAAATGCCAAGCTGTAGCCAATCCAGCTGTTTTTGTACTTCATTCCAATTTCTGTACTTCACTTTGCTTTTCTTGTCTATAAATTTGTTCTGTCCACAAGGTACCCCTGGAGTCCCTCTGAATCTGCTGTGATTCTGGAGGCTGCCTGATTTGTGAATTGTTTTTTTTTTATTATTATACTTTAAGTTTTAGGGTACATGTACACAACGTGCAGGTTAGTTACATATGTATACGTGTGCCATGTTGGTGTGCTGCACCCATTAACTCATCATTTAACATTAGGTATATCTCCTAATGCTATCCCTCCCCCCTCCCCCCACCCCACAACAGGCCCTGGTGTGTGATGTTCTCCTTCCTGTGTCCATGTGTTCTCATTGTTCAATTCCCACCTATGAGTGAGAACATGCAGTGTTTGGTTTTTTGTCCTTGTAATAGTTTGCTGAGAATGATGGTTTCCAGCTTCATCCATGTCCCTGCAAAGGACATGAACTCATCCTTTTTAATGGCTGCATAGTATTCCACAGTGTATATGTGCCACATTTTCTTAATCCAGTCTATCATTGATGGACATTTGGGTTAGTTCCAAGTCCTTGCTATTGTGAATAGTGCCGCAATAAACATACATGTGCATGTGTCTTTATAGCAGCATGTTTTATAATCCTTTGGGTATATACCCAGTAATGGGATGGCTGGGTCAAATGGTATTTCTAGTTCTAGATCCCTGAGGAATCGCCACACTGTCTTCCACAATGGTTGAACTGGTTTACAGTCCCACCAACAGTGTAGAAATGTTCCTATTTCTCCACATCCTCTCCAGCACCTGTTGTTTCCTGACTTTTGAAGGATCGCCATTCTAACTGGTGTGAGATGATATCTCATTCTGGTTTTGATTTGCATTTCTCTGATGGCCAGTGATGATGAGCATTTTTTCATGTGTCTTTTGGCTGCATAAATGTCTTCTTTTGAGAAGTGTCTGTTCATATACTTTGCCCACTTTTTGATGGGGTTGTTTGTTGTTTTCTTGTAAATTTTTTGGAGTTCATCATAGATTCTGGATATTAGCCCTTTATCAGATGAGTAGATTGCAAAAATTTTCTCTCATTTTGTAGGTTGCCTGTTCACTCTGATGGTAGTTTCTTTTGCTGTGCAGAAGCTCTTTAGTTTAATTAGATCCCATTTGTCAATTTGGGCTTTTGTTGCCATTGCTTTTTGTGTTTTAGTCATGAAGTCCTTGCCTATGCCTATGTCCTGAATGGTATTGCCTATGTTTTCATCTAGGGTTTTTATGGTTTTAGGTCTAACACGTAAGTGTTTAATCCATCTTGAATTAATTTTTGTATAAGGTGTAAGGAAGGGATCCAGTTTCAGCTTTCTACATATGGCTAGCCAGTTTTCCCAGCACCATTTATCAAATAGGGAATCCTTTCCCCATTTCTTGTTTTTGTCAGGTTTGTCAAAGATCAAATAGTTGTAGATATGCAGCATTATTTCTGAGGGCTCTGTTCTGTTCCATTGGTCTATATTTGTTCAATTCAACTCCCTTAAATTTAATTCAGCTGAAGTTTTTCTTTTAACAGAGTTAAAAAATCAAAATCAAGTAAACTGTTAGAGTTGTGTTTCTGATTACCTTAAAGGGCTTGGTTGAGAGATTTTAACAAAATTGTGCAGAGATATCTCGTCTACTTGGTCACTCACAGAGCCTGGATTTATCAAATTTTGTTTGTTTAAGATTTGTATTTGTTAAACAAAATAAATTCCCTGGGTTCAGTTTTAAAGATTAATAAAACCAGTTGAAAAAAGAGAAACAATTAGCTAGGAAATGATTCCTTTGACATATGTGGTATTGAATTGTCAATATAATGGCTTTTCCACCATGTCCTCCCTGACTTTACCTTTTCCTAATTAATCAATCCATTTTTTTAAATGTACAGATATAAGGAATTTTAATTTTGGGTAATGACAGCAAAGAAGTATATTTGTCTGCTAGGAGTGCAATTTTGATGTCTGTTTCAGTCTTTTCATCTGGATTCAAGCCCACACCTTAGCATTGTGGAATAATTACCTGAGATAATCCATAGAAAGCAGTAGGTGCAGCAGTGATCACAGTAAAGCAGCACTCTTTAAAATATTTTATTACATAAAACTTGTACAGGAAAGGGAAGTGAAATAATCCCCTTCCCACCGTGCCTGGCCAAAAAAAATCAAAACAAAACAAAAAAAAAAAAAACAACAATAATAAGGGCTTAAAACTATTTGTTAATTGAACAAATGTTAGCTATTATTAGATATTCTTTGGTAGAAAAACATAATTCTCTATTTTAAATTTTAAATAGTGGTAATAGGCACCACATGTGCATTGCTTATTGTGTTTCAAGAACTCGGTTATAGACATATATCATCACCTCAGTTAACATTCGATGAGTGCTCCAGATTGTTTCCCCACTCTACACAACAACATCTTGGAAGAACCAGC
Source organism: Homo sapiens (assembly GCF_000001405.40). Lineage (NCBI taxonomy): Eukaryota > Metazoa > Chordata > Mammalia > Primates > Hominidae > Homo > Homo sapiens. The sequence goes on from NC_000005.10 coordinate 97,929,104, forward strand.
CTGTCAGAATAAATTCATCTTTAACAGTACCTGATGTGATTCAATAGTATATACATATATACACACACTAATATATGTTCATATAATATGTACACAAATATATGCATATGTAGATATATGTGTACATATTATATATGTGTATATGTTCTATATGTATATAATATATACAAATATGTTCATTTGTGTACATATATACATATATTATTGAATATATACAGACATTTTTTTATATACAAATATTATAAAATATATATACAATATTCAATTGTTCCAGAATATGTGACTATCTTTAGGTCTAAGAAAAATAAAATGTTCTAAAATTTGAATTATAAAACATGCCTCTGAATGCCATAGAAGAATAGCAAATGTATATATTACAAAAATTTCAAATGAAGAATAAATAATGCAATTGTAGATATTCCTCCTGGTGATAACTGTTAGCTCATGATGACTTGACATGAAAATCTTCCTACTGGAATGTGAGTCAGAGATCTTGGGAATAGTGGTTTCTGAAGTCTAGGCCTGTTCAACAAAGACAACTTTGCCCTAAGAGAGACTTGTCCTTTTCTCTCGATTCCTGGGAGATAACTTCTAAGCCCTTGGTATGTCCTACCTAATAAGAGTGTCTGTTTACCTGGGAGCATTGGGACATGCCAGATAGTCTATGCTAACAATGTGATTTATGATAGGGGACCTTGAATCATGTGATATCAACTTGACCTGGGGGAAGCTGGAGACTAAGATCAGACATGCGGGTGGTCAACTATATTTGGATAACTGAGTCCCACCATAGTGTCTAAACGCCAAGGCTTGAGTAAGCATCTCTGGCTGGCAATACTCTGTGTTTATAGTCACACATAATTTCTAGATAAACTTGTGCTCTCTACTCAACTCCACTAGGAGAAGACAATGGGAAACTCCTTGTCAGAGACTCTCCTGTATCCTCTTCTGTATGCCTCTTCTTTGGCTAATACATTGAATTTGTATTCTTTTATCATAGTAAACCATGTCTGTAAGGAAGACTGCTTTAAGTGAGTTATGTGAGTTCTTGTAGTGAACTGTCAGACCCAAGATGGTTGGGCAGACTTCTGAATCTTCAGTTGGTGCTAACAGTGAGGGCAGGTGAGGGAAGTCTTGGGGATGCCCAGACTTCTAGTTGGTATCAAAAGTAACTGGTTTGGGGAACCTCCAAGCTTGTAGTTGGTATCAGAAGTGATGGAGGTCTTGAGGACTCCTGAACTTTGTAGGACCCCAGCAAAGTAAATACAAATATTATAACAAATTTCAATGTGTAAAAACTTCTTAGGTTGGTGGTATAGTATAATTGAAAAACCATGGACTGTGAACCCAAAGTGGGGCTCAAATTCTGGATCGGTCACATAGTAGCTGTAAATAGAATATTGTCATTACATGGCAGTGGCTTTTGAATTTTGAAGGCCAAAGTGCAAATTCATACTCCATCACTACAAGTTATTTTATCTCTTTCTATTATCTCATTTGTAAAATGTATACTATTACCTTAAAATACATTTTGATAATTATACAAGCCAATAATTGCAAAATTCCTTATATATAAGGAGCACGATGAAATGATAAATTTAGTGACTATACTATTCAGCAATTGTGTATCATTTTGTTATTTCTAAGCAGAACAGTGCACAAGAAGATATCTTGAATCACCCAAGAGGTGCCAGAGCTCCCATGTGCTTTCAGAGTTAGCAGGGGACTATCTGTTCATGCAACTAATACTTAGTGTGTTTACTCTACCAGCTATTGTTTTAGGTTCCACAGTAAAAAAGAGATAAATATATGTGCCTTCTAATGGGAAAAGAGAGAAAAACATCAGATAGAAAGATAGATAGATACGTATAAAAAATATGTGGCATATTAATGATAAGTGCTAATAACACAAATGAAGCAGGTAGGGGTGATAGGGAGTATGGAGGTAAGGTAACAATGTTAACTAGAGGCACCAAGGAAAGGCTACACTGGAAAACTGACATTTTGTTAAACACTGAAAGGGGGAGAAGAAAAATTTTCTACAATTTTCTTTTAGAAAAAAAAAGAGAAAATTCAAAGAATCTTGGATGAGAATGAGCCTGGCATGTATAAAGAAGAGCTGTAATGTAATGAGTTTATATACCTCACAGTTCCAACTCCCCATTTGGAAAGTTAATTTCAAGAAAATATCACTAAAACGTCTTTGAAGTATAAGGAAAACATGCTTTTGGAGAACTCAGAGCCTTGCATGCCCACTATTCACTTATTAAATCAATTTCATGTGTAGATTAACTTGTCTAAAGCATAAGGATGTTTATATATAATTATATATGCCCAAGGTATTTGAAAAGAGTTTTTTAATGACAAGTAAGATTCTGGGCTGTTCTGTTGAAAAAAGTAATCATGCTAAGTTTTACTAGGCATATTGAATTGAAAACATTTTCGGGTTTTTATCCTGTGTTGGAAATTCACACAATTAGTATGTTTATGGCCTTTGTTTTACAAACACCTTTTCCCTCTCTCTACCTGAATGCATTATTTTTCTTTTATTTTTATCTGCTGCTTCATTCCAAATTTATTTTCTGGAAGAAATAATGTGCTATTTAATTTTTCATCACAAAAGAAAAATGTATTTCCAATTTTTTAAAGTTAAAAATTGTGTATGGAATAGTCCCTTCTAGTAGGTGATGATTATCTATATGCCCAGTAGCCAATTACAATTTTTTTTTCAAAATCATATATTGGTTTTTAATTGAAACAAGAACACATTTATGAAAAATGGCTTTTTTAAAAGAGAATTGACAATGCATAGTGTACAGGTGCATAGCAGTAAATTGAACCCTATGTATATTATTTAAAGTCTTCAATCAGCTGTCCCAGACTTGGTAAGGAATTGCTATTCACTTGAGTATATTATGCTGTCAGGGCCTCCTTTTGCATTAACACACCAATGAGTCAGTTGCATCAAATTCATCCAAAGTGCACAAGAAATTATAATCCCCATGACATTTAGGTAATTTAGTGTGTTAAAAGAAGAACTCAAGCCTTTATAAGAAAGATGATTATTTTGTATTGTGTTGGTAAGAGATCATAGATTGTTCTTCTATGCCAAATTTATTTTTTATATTGTTGCTTTCTTGAAGAATAATTCCAAGCATATTTTTGTAGTAAATGAGGAGCAAGCCAATTAAGCCTCCCATGCTTGCAACTCAAACAGCAATCTGGATTGCTATAATGGAGAGAGACTCAATATAAATTAAAAGCAGAGAGGGTATTATGGAGAAAGGGTCAGGCCTTTTGAATTGCAGAGAATAACAAGTATGCTTATGGGAAAATTGTTCATTGCAAATCCTTCCTTAAAATAATTTTAAAGTAAGATTTATACAGTTTTATTTCCACTTTTAAACTGGCTAGCTTTACTTCCTTTATATGTTCGATTTTAGTACATGAAGAGATGTAAATTTAATAATTAACTCTCATCACTTTCTAGCTTTTAACCAAAACTAATAATATATATCTTGTTTCTACAAGAGAGAGAAAATATGTTGTTCAAAACTAAAGATAAATCATTTAATTGATTCTCCATATTTTTCTTTCTGTTCCTACTTTGCCAGAAGTTACATGAGACATGTTATTATTTTGTTCTGATTGTAAAGAGCATGTTTTGATATAACCTAATAGTTTTACTCAGCATTATTGCAGTAAGACTTATACAATACATTGTCCATTTTATCCTTTTCATTAAAGTAGGTACATGCACTGTGTAGCTTATTACTTTCAACATTTAGGGGATGCAGGATACTTGCTTTCTAATAAAACAAAATTATAGTTTTATAGTGACATAAAACAGAATTTGAAGAATTCTAAAATGATAGAATATTTTTAAATTTTATGTTTATGTTACCCAAAGCATGTAAATACCATAGTTTTCACTCAAGGGTGGCTTGATTTGTTTTGACACCAATACCTCAGGTCTACTTATTTTCGTTTAAATACTGAAGATAGATTTAGTTAAATAACTATGGTATTAAACAAAATAAACAGGTAAGTTTTTCTAGTTGTGGTTGGAATTGGGACTCAAGTGTCTTGAAATTTGACATTATCGGCCCGGTGTGGTGGCTCACACCTGTAATCCTAACACTTTGGGAGGCCAAGTTGGGCGGATTGCCTGAGCTCAGGAGTTTGAGACCAGCCTGGGCAACATGGTGAAACCCTGTCTCTACCAAAATACAAAAAAAAAAAAAAAAATGCCAGGCGTGGTGGCATGCACCTGTACATATCCCAGCTACTCGGAAAGCTGAGGCAGCAGAATTGCTTGAACCTGGGAGGCGAAGGTTGCAGTGAGCCAAGATGGTGCCACTGCATTCCAGCCTGGCAACAGAGCGAGACTCCATCCCAAAAAACAAACAAAAAAACAAAAACGAATTTGACCTTACCAAATTTATTATATTGTTGCTCAGTACTTTACTAGAAATAGATTGTCATCAGGCTGTTTTGAAGAAAGAACACTGTTTGCAAAAACAATGAGATTGTCTTTGATAAGTGAGTGGAAACCAAAGATCCTAATTATTATTGTGATACATGATAAAACTGTTTCTCTGTGAACCTTGGAGACCATCTGTACAAAGATTCCATTTTCCAGATAGCAAAAAAATAAGGAATTCTCAATTTATTGAGGAAAAAATTTGGTCATGGCCATGGATTTACTTTTCACATATATGGCTCAATGTGGCTCCATCCTCACTTTTAAGCAACATCTGCTACAATGCTTTTTTTCTCAATACTCTTCTCTCTATTCTGCACCCACATGCTCCTTCTTTGTTCCAATGCATACCAAAACTATATATATGCCGCTTATTTGGCTTGGGGTAGTCTTCCCTACTTTTCTTTCCCAAACAAAACTCCCTTTCGGTCACCTTCTCTGAGATCACTTAACACTTGGTAGATGCCTATAAATATTTAATAATTCTTATTCAGGCTTTGTTGAAAGTATCTACCTTTTCTTCATTTTCATTCTTCTCCCTATCTTGTTCCTCTTCATTTATGGTCATCCAGCAGAATTTTAGATAGCTAATATGTTCAATAGTGCTAATATAAGTAAACTAAAAATGACTAGTCTCTTTAATAATAAATCAATGTGCTTAACTATACCACTCTGGAATTCTGAAGCTTCTTTCAAGTCTTTTACTCGTATAGAATCTGCTCTGATTATTAGTTATATATGATATGCAAATCATGACTTTGATCAAATGCAAAATTATTTGAACTCACACAGAAATTCCAGATTAAATCAAGAAAATTGCTCTGCATATGATCCAAGGGCTCCTTTTTTGTTTTAACATGAAAATATATATAGAGGCACAGAGAAGCTATGGGCTAACCAACCCTCAAGTGCCTTAATAACTAGGTCCATGGATGATATACTGGGTTGAATGTTGCCACTGCAAAATTTCATGTGGATGTGAAACCTGTGAATGTGACTTATTTGAAATAGGTTCTTTGCATATATAATCAAATAAGAATAAGGTCATACTGGATTTGTGTGATCTTTAAATCCTTTATGATTAGTGTCCTTATAATAGAAAGAGAGACATTTGGAAACAGGGAGATAGACCCACAGCAGATCTGTCCATGGGAAGATAGATGCATGGATTGGAGTGATACATCTACAAGCTAGGTAATGCCAAATGTTGCTAGCAGTCATCAGAAGCTATAAGATGCAAGACGGGATTCTACCCTGGAGCCTTTAGAGGGAGCGTGGCTTTGCTGACACCTTGATTTCAGACTTCCAGTCTTCAGAACCATGAAACAGTAGATTTCTGGGGTTGTTTCTTGAGACGGGTTCTTGCTCTGTTGCCCAGGCTGGAATAAAGTAATAGGATCATGGCTCACTGCAACCTCAATCTCCCAGGCTCAAATGATCCTCTCACCTCAATCTCCTGAGTAGTTGCAACTACAGGTACACACCATCACATCTGGCTAATTTCTGTCTCTCTACTATATATATATATATATATATATATATATATATATATATATATATATAGTAGTCTCTCTACTATATATATATATAGTAGTCTCTCTACTATATATATATAGTAGTCTCTCTACTATATATATATAGTAGTCTCTCTACTATATATATATAGTAGTCTCTCTACTATATATATATAGTAGTCTCTCTACTATATATATATAGTAGTCTCTCTACTACATATATATATGTAGCAGTCTCTCTACTATATATATATATAGCAGTCTCTCTACTATATATATATATAGCAGTCTCTCTACTATATATATATATAGCAGTCTCTCTACTATATATATATAGCAGTCTCTCTACTATATATATAGTAGTCTCTCTACTATATATATATGTATATAGTAGTCTCTCTACATATATATGTATATAGTAGTCTCTCTACTATATATATATAGTACTCTCTCTACTATATATATAGAATACTCTCTCTACTATATATATAGTACTCTACTATATATATAGTACTCTCTCTACTATATATATATAGTAGTCTATATATAGTAGTCTACTATATATATATATAGTAGTCTCTCTACTATATATATATAGTAGTCTCTCTACTATATATATATAGTAGTCTCTCTACTATATATATATATAGTAGTCTCTCTACTATATATATATATAGTAGTCTCTCTACTATATATATATAGTAGTCTCTACTATATATATATATATAGTAGTCTCTACTATATATATACTATACTATATATATTAAGATTATCAGATGGTTGGAACTATCTAACATGGATACTGAATGATAGTTTGAGGGACTCCTTTTAAGTAGGGTTTGGACTTCAGTGTATTATTTTTATGATGCTTTTTTTGGTTTCTCAGAAGTGCTCCAGTAAGTTTTGGTTGCTAGAGAGTAACTTTTATAAAAATATTATACTGGTATATTATAGATTAATTTCAAGGTTTTTACTTTAGGGACATAACATCATTTTGAAAGAGCTTGCCTGTGGCTCTCAGAACACTGGGGCACAGCAATAAACTTTTACCAAGAAATTATGTCTTCTGGCAGATAAACCAAAACTTGGAACCTCTGAGATATTATCATTTTCAGTCTCTGACCTTGCTTGATACATTTAATGGCTTGGTGTTAGAGTTTCTCAATCTGAACTTTAGATCAAAGTAATAATGATCTTTTCCATCTAAGTTGAGACATATTTGTAGAGTACATGCAACTTGCCAACAGGAAATCACTACATACACAACCATTTATTGTTAGTTTTCTGGCCGATTCAGATCTCAAAGGAATTGAAGTCATTGCCATTTGAAGGTTGTCCAGTTCATTTCTTAGACAGATGACTGACCCAATACAATAGTCACACAGTCCCTGAACAATTACACTCAAACTCTGCCTTGGCTATCACTGAAGAAAAACATGATTGTTCAATCAATGTGGCTATACAATTGACCTCCCTTTCTTCCCTAAGCAGTTAGGAACTGTGAGAACATGATGAAGAAAAGTTAGCCCTGTTCTTTTAAATATATTTTTTTGTATTTTGAGGTGAGAGGATTAAAAATTGCTTAGGTTTATTCTTAAGTGTTCATAAGAAATATTGCCATTTAGTTCAAAATTTACTGAGTATCTCATGATAATAAAGTGAGAATCTGCTGAGTGTTAATGAGTGGTACTAAGTGTTTATAATAGTGTGGATTTCAAAATAATTGTTTATGTTTGGTGAAATGAAAAAAGCTACATAGAGAAGATGACATTCAACTAGGTCTTGAAAACAGAATTTCAACAGTAAAGATAAGGAGGAAAGAAACCCTTCCTCATGAGAAAACAAGGTGAATCAAAGCATTCAAATGGAAATATAATAGGTACATTTGAGAAAAACTGAGTAGTTTGATTTCACTGGAGCACATAAGCGGAAAAAGAAACCAGATATAAGATAAAGAGAGTGACCACAGTGAGATGCCTTTATTATTATAATTTGAATGTTATGTCATAAATGGGGAGCCTGGACTTGAGATAATCTGATTTTCCCAAATTAAAAAAAAAGTAATCTTTCAATGGTGTCTGCATAGAGACATCATGACCTAATATCCCCCCAAAATTAATCATAAAATTAAACAAAATAGGGTCAGTTTAAATAAAGGACTAGGGTTTAATTTACTCACAGTTCCACAGGCTGTACAGGCAACATGGCTGAGGAGGTCCCAGGAAACTTACAGTCATGACAGAAGGTGAAGGAGAAGCCAGTGTGACAATGAACTAATACAGAAAGTTGGTACCAGAGAAATGGGACATTACTATAAAGATACCTGAAAATATGAAAGCAACTTGGGAACAGGGTTGGAACAATTTGGAAGGCTCAGAAAAAGAAAAGACGATGAGGAAAAGTTTGAAACTTCCTAGACACTTGTTGAATGGTTGTAACCAAAATGCTGATAGTGATATGGGCAAGGAAGTCCAGACTGAGGTGGTCTCAGATGGAGATGAGGAATGTACTGGGAGCTGGAGTAAAGGTCACTCTGTCTATGCTTTAGCAAAGAGACTGGCAGCAGCATTTTGCCCCTGCCCAAGAGATCTGTGAAACTTTGAACTTCAGAATGATAATTTCAGGTATCTGGCAGAAGAAATTTCTAAGCAGCAAAACATTTAAGATTTGACCTGGCTGCTTCTACAAACCTACACTCATCTGCATAAACAAAGAAATGACCTAAAACTGGAACTTATATTTAAAAGGAAAGCAGAGCATAAAAGTTTAGAAAATTTCCAGCCTGACCATGTGGTAGAAAATAAAAACCCATTTTTCTGTGGAGGAATTCAAGCCAGCTACAGAAATGTACATAAGTAAAGAGAAGCTGCATGTTAATAACCAAGACGATGGGAAAGTGCCTCCAAGGCATTGCAGAGACCTTTGCAGCAGGCCCTCCCATCTTAGGCCTGGAAGCCCAGGAGGAAAAACTGGTTTTCATGGGCCAGGCCCAGGGCCCTGCTGCTCTGTACAGTCTCAGGACATGGTATCCTGCATCCCAGCCACTCCAGGTTTAACTGTGACTAAAAGGGCCTCAAATATGTCTGAGTCCACTGGTCCAGAGAGTGCAAGCCACAAGCCTCGGCAGCCTCCACATAGTGTTAAGCCTGCAGGTGGGCAGAGGGCCAGAGTTGAGGCTTGGGAGCCTCTGCCTAGATTTCAGAGGATGTGTGGAAATACCTGGATGTCTAGACAGAAAACTGCTACAGAGGTGGAGCCTTCATGGAGAACCTCTGCTAGGAAAGTGTGGAAAAGAAATATTGGATTGGAGCCCCACACAGAGTTCCCCACTGGGGCACTACCCAGTGGAACTGTGAGAAGACGGCCACCATCTTCCAGATCTTGGTATGGTGGATCCACTGACAGCTTGCAGCATGCACCAGGAAAAGCCACAGGTACTCAATGCCAGCCCAGGAAAGCAGCCAAGGGGGCTGTGCCCTGCAAAGCCACAGGGGCAGAGCCTTGAGAGACTACCTCTTGCATTAGCATGTCCTAGATGTGAGACATGGAGTCAAAGGAGATTATTTTGGAGCTTTAAGACTTAATGACTGCCCTGCTGGGTTTTGGACTTGGCATGGGGCCTGTAACCCCTTTGTTTTGGCCAATTTTTCTCTTTTGAAATGGGAGCATTTACCGAATGTCTGTACCACCATTGTATCTTGGAAGTAACTAACTTGATTTCGATATTATAGGTTCATAGGCAGAAGGGATTGGCCTTGTCTCAGATGAGATTTTGGACTTGGAATTTGAGTTAATGCTAGAATGAGTTAACACTTTGGGATACTGTTGGAAAGATATGACTGTGTTTTGAAATATAAGAATGACATGAGATTTGGGAGGGCCTGGGGTGGAATGATATGGTTTGGCTCTGTGTGCCCACACAAATCTCATGCTGAATTGTAATCCTCAGTGTCGGAGGAGGAGTCTGGTGGGAGGTGATTGGCTGATGGGGACGGACTTCTCCCTTGCTGTTCTCATGATAGCGAGTGAGTTCTAATGAGATCTGGCTGTTTAAAAATGTGCAACACTTCCCCATTTTCTCTATTCCTCCTGCTCCCACCATGTAAGATGTGCTGGCTTCCCCTTTACCTTCCTCCATGGTTATAAGTTTCCTGAGGCTTCCCCAGTCATGACTCCTTGTACAGCCTACATAACTGTGAGTCTATTAAACCTCTGTTCTTTATAAATGACCCAGCCTGAGGTAGTTCTTTATGGCATTGTGAGAATGGACTAATACAAATTTTCTTCAATAAAAACCTTTGAGTGGAATTACAGGGTAATATGATAACTTTATTATTAACATTTTGAGGAGCTACTGAACTACTTTCCAAAGTGACTGCACTATTTGACAATTTTGCCAGTGGTATATGATGGTTCCAATTTCTCCACATCCTCTCCAACACTTGTCTTTTTTATTTTAGCCATTTGAGTGAGTGTGGGGTTATACCTTACTGGGGTTTTCATTTTTAGTGTTTCCATAATGACGAGTGATGCTGGTTGAACATTTTTAATACGTTTGTTAGCCATCCATATATCTTCTCTGAAGACACTTCTACTCAGATTTTTTTTGCCTATTATTACATTGTGTTATTGTCTCTTTTATTATTGGGTTATATATTTTGGATACAAGTTCCTTATCAAATATTCAATATTACATGAAATTGTATTTTTTCTTTCATTGATGTGTTTTTTAGTGTGATATCTAAGAACTCAATGAGAAACCCAAGGTTATGAAGATTTTCCCCCAAAGTTTTTGTGGAAGAGTTTTATATTATAGTTTTAGCTCTTCCTTTTAGATCTTTGATCAATTTTGATTTTATATATGGTATGAAGTAACAGTCCAAGTTAATTTTTTGCTTGTGGATATCCACTTGACCCAGCACAATGTATTGAAAGACTACTCTTTTTCCATTAAATTGTCTTTTTACCCCTGTCAAAAGTCAATTGATCAGAAATGTAAGAAAATACTTATTGACTGTCAGTTCTATTTCTTTGATCTCTATGTCTGTCCTTAGGCTAGTAGCACAATATCTGGATCATTGTCATTTTTAAGTAGGTTTTGAAATCAGAAAGTGTGGATCCTCTTACTTTGTTCTCCTTGAACATTGTTTTGGATTTTTCTGGGTCCCCTGCAATTACATATGAATTTCAGGAGCAGCTTGGAAATTTCTGCAAAAAAGCCAGCTAGGATTTTGTAAAGGATCCTATTTTATTGATATATCAGTTTTAGAAGTGTTGCTATCTTAATATTTAGTGTTACAATCTATAAACATGAGGTGTCTTTCCATTTATTTACATCTTTCTTTAATTTTTTCTTCTTCAACAGTGCTTTGTAGTTTTCTGGATGCACACTTTGTGCTTCTTTTGCTAAATTTATGTCTAAATATTTTGTTCTTTTTGTTGTGATTATAAATTGATTTTTTCTTCTTAATTTCATTTTTGTGTTGTCCATTATTACTATATTGATATGCAATTGCTTTTGTATGTTAATTATTTTTTCTTTACTTTTTTTTTTTTTTTTGAGACAGAGTGTCACTCTATTGCACAGGCTAGAATGCAGGGACACAAGCATAGCTCACTGCAGCCTTGACCTGCTGGGATCAAGCAAACTTTCTACCTCAGCCTCTTGAGTAGCTGGGACCACAGGTGTGTGCCACCCTGCCCAGCTCATTCTTTGTTTATCGTAGAGATGGGGATTTCCCTGTGTAGCCCAGGCTGGTCTCAAATTCCTGGGCCCAGGCGATCCTCCCACCTCAGTCTTCCAAAGTGCTGGGATTACAGGTGTGAGACACTGCACCCAGCTATATGTTAATTTTGTATTTCACAACTTTGATGAACTTACTCATTTTAGCAGCTTTTCTTTTGCATATTCCTTATGATTTTGTATATACAAGATCATGTTATTTGAAAATGGAGGTAGTTTTACTTATTTCTTTCCCATCTGGATGTGTTTTTTTATTTTATTTTATTTTTTTGAGGCAGAGTCTGGCTCTGTCGCCCAGGCTGGAGTGCAGTGGCGCGATCTCGGCTCACGGCAAGCTCCGCCTCCCAGGTTCACGCCATTCTCCTGCCTCAGCATCCTGAGTAGCTGGGATTACAGGCGCCCACCATCACGCCTGGCTAATTTTTTGTATTTTTAGTATTTTTAACCAGGATGGTCTCGATCTCCTGACCTCGTGATACCCCCGCCTCGGCCTCCCAAAGCGCTGGGATTACAGGCATGAGCCACCGCATCCGGCCCCCATCTGGATGTGTTTTATTTCTTTTTCTTGTCTAACTGCCCTGGCTATAACCTTCAATATTGTTGAATAGAAGTGATGAGTGTATACATTTTTATCTTATTCCTAATATTAGGGTAAAGTTTTCAGTCTTTCACCATTAATTTTAATGTTAATTGTGGTTGTTTGAGGATGTCCTTTATCAGGTAGAAGAAGCTTCATTGTATTCCTACTGTATATTTTATCATGAACGGATGTTGGGTTTTGTCAAATATTTTTTCTGCATCTACTGAGAAAATTATGAGTTTTTATCTTTTATTCTATGAATATGGTGTATTACATTGATTTATTTTTTAGATATTAAATCAACCTTGTATTCCTATCCTTGGTCCATTGTATAATGATTCTTTATATGTTTCTGGATTCAGTTTGCTAGCTTTTGTTGAGGATTTTTGTATCCATATTTGTAAGATATTTTCATCTGCATTTTTTTTCTTGTAATACCTTGGCTAGCTTTGGTGTCCAGGTAACACTGGGCTCATAATATAATGAGCTGAGCAAAGTATTTCCTCTTCTCTCTTTTGGAAGGCTTCGTGAAGGATAATTTATTCTACTTTAAAAATGTGATGGTCAGATGCAGTGGCTCACGCCTGTAATCCCAGCACTTTGGGAGGCTGAGGCGGGTGGATCACCTGAGGTTGGGAGTTCGAAACCAGCCTGACCAACATGGAGAAACCCCCATCTCTACTAAAAAGTACAAAATTAGCTGGGCATGGTGGTGCATGCCTGTAATCCCAGTTACTCGGGAGGCTGAGGCAGGAGAATCGCTTGAACCTGGGAGGCGGAGGTTGTGGTGAGCTGAGATTGCACCATTGCATTCCAGCCTGGGCAACAGGAGCAAAACTCCGTCTCAAAAAAAAAAAAAAAAAAAAAGGAAAAAATACATACACCATATAATTTATGGTAACTTTTCAATTTAAATGGACTTAAATACCAAATACGTAAAATCTGGGGTCTGCACCGCCCCTTCCTAGAGAAATATTTTATGCAAAAGATCCATGCATCACTCTTGTGGTGTAAGTTTTCTTTAAGTTCTTTAAATTTAATTTTAAAAATATCAACTTCTTAATATAGATTTTAATTATGCTAGGCACTTGCTATTTAGAACAACATTATTGAAATATGAAGCAAATATTGTCACTTAAAAAAAATCACTCTCCTAGATCTTGACTAAAGATACAGCTTACAAGAAGATGTTAACTCTCACTCTTTTTGGGCACACTGAGCAACTCCAGCATTCACCTAAAAAGTAACATTTTGTAATTTATCATCAGTATATGTTTGTTTTTACTTTTGCATACAATAAAGTGAAAGAAGTAGAACAAAAAAAGGAGACAGACACAAAAACAGAGACTGAGATAGAGATATTGACAGACATAGACATTCAATATTATTTTAGTTAATTGTGAGAGGCGACCATGGAAAATAATCGCAAACTACATTCAAAGGAATTGCAGAATATACTGCAGAGTTCCTTTTACTTTCCTTTAATTTGAGGCTTTTGGACCTATGTGGATGATTTGAAAGTCAAGAGAGGCAGAGTGTGTGTTAGATTAGTTTATAGTGAGCCAACATTATATTGTAGTCATTGGGAGTATAATTATTTTAAAAGAAATGGGCTGAAGTTTCCCCTCCCACTTTCTGCACATTGCAGGCAGCTGTTAATAAACCCCCAAGCTGATTACATTGGTGAAAAAAACAAGGAAATTTATTTATAGTTGCAGTTCACAATGTTTTGCTATTAGACTTACAATTCATAAAAAGTCAGTAATTGGTCACCATGACTTGTAGCACTTGTATTTCCTTATCCTAATCTGTAGTCCATGTTCATACATGTCCTAATTATCCTATTCTACAGTGAGTGATTTTAAATAGCTTTTACCACCTACTTACCAGAAAGGAATAATAAGATGATTAATGACAACATGTATAAAACATTTTGAATGCAGAAAAGGAGAAATATTTAAAAGTAAAATAATGGACTATTATAGGGAGCATTCTTATTTCTATGTCTATAGAAATACATATATTTTGGCATAATACATGAATCCACACTTTAAAGGCACTTTATTTTACAAATATGTATCCTCTATATGAATGAAAAAAGCATTATTCTTCGATTAATTTCTTTTGAAATATAATTTTATTTTTTATTCTATAATAGTTGCATTTATAGAATAACATTAGAATAAATCTAAAAAGTGAAGATAAAATTCTTTAAATTCACATGATCATTGTTAGTCAATAAACATATTTCTAATTGATAAATAAATCTTATATATACATAGTAGTCTATTAGTCAATAATTAGTAAATAAATTGATAACAATACATGTAGAATTTTATTTTTTTTACCTTGTAGTATTATTATATCACGCATATTTCTTTCCTATTTTTTCTCTTTTAATTATATACTAAAGCTTTCTATAGTTTCTACATTTCTACTCCATGATTTAATGGCTACATAATGTTCCATGGCTAACATAACCAATTTCTATTGTTAAGTACATACATAGATTGCCTTTCTTTATTCTATTTACAACCCATGATGAGTATTCTGACAATTGTATTCATTGTATAACTTCAGGAAACATTGTCAGAACCAAAACTACCAAGTCCTTTGATTCTGACAATACATTTTTTAAGAAAATAATACATACTGGCAATATCCCTTTCAGAAAGATATTACCAATTTACATCCGCAATAGAAGTGTATTAATGTTCCCATCTCCTGTGACCTAGGCAGGACTTCTGTATGCTTTTTATTATTCCTAATTTATGTGAGAGACAAGACCTATCTCATTATTTCATTTTATTCAAATTAAATTATGGATTAAGTAATAATACTTATTTTCCATTTTATGTCTCTCTAAAATGTTTGTTTAAGGTTGGGTTCAATGTCAATAATTTGAAAAATGAATAATTTCCGCATTTTCCCCAAAAGTTGAGGGAGAAAATGAAATATTTCCACAACAAAATTAAGTAATTTTTTTACCTATTCAAGAACCTCTTGAGTTTTTTTCCCCTGAGTTGCATTTGCTTGCAACAGAGAGGAAAGGGGGATGTTACTCTTACTCTTTTCAAATTAATTCAGTTTTTAAGCTTTATGATATTTAGTTAATACATAGACCACATTATTTATTATTTCCTAAGTTATGACTATTTCAGCAATAATCTAAAAGGTAGATGAATTGCAGAACTGGTTATGAGCAATAATTTTTTTCAAAATATCTTTCTAGAATGGATATAATATAAACTTCCAAAAATATTGGTATACATTGTGGATATCCAAAAACAGCATCAGGTAGGTACATTATTGGTGACCAGATATTTTGAACTGGTATGTAATTCATTTGATAACATGTAATAACATGTATGGATGTGTAAATTTTACTTTATGAGCTCAATGGGAAAGCTATTTCTTCCAAAATATGACCCAAGATAATGCCTGTGTTGTATTATTTAATCAATTTCAGGTTATAAGAGAATCTAAATGCTTGTAAGAATTTGCTCTATCACTGCATTTTGTAGACTCTCTTGTTTAGTATTTTAGGCCTTGAGTACATCACACGGCAAATTGCTCACAATATATTATACAATTTGAATGATGTTGGGCATATCACCTCATTTATGCCTGTTTACAATATTTGTTTGTCTTTAATCAAAGGCCGAAGTACCAGGTGTCTTTTTATAGAATGTGGATTTTTACAATGAATCTCCATTTCATAGCATTCACTATTATGTCTGGCTTCTTTCATTCGACATTATTTCAATGACACTCATCCATATAATATGTGGCATTAGCTTGATTCTTTTCATTACTTTATAGCATTTCATTATATAAATATACCACAATGTATTTTTTTCTATTATTATTCACCTTTAGATTGTTCTGGTATCACATTACTATTAACAATACCACTATGAACATTTTTGTACATGTTTATTGGTGCACATATTTATACATCTTTATTTGGTTTAGTATTTCCTACACTCGAAGTTGCTAGTTTATTACTTATGATATGTTAAGAGATACTGTATATTATCAAAAAATCCTCAGAAAAGACTGGCAAATTACATTCCTGGATAATTCTAGTCACTTGCTTTTGGTAGTTTTAAAGCTTTTATTTTTAAAATCCATCCTAGTGAATGTGGATTGATTACTTAAAATTTAACCTCTTGTGAGTACTTGGTTGTACATTATTCAGTAACTCATTTATATCAATTGATTTCAAAGGTGAGCCATTTAAAAATATCTGTTCTCAAACATTCACATTTACAACATATTTGATAATTTGAAAAGTTTTGGTGTGCATTAGAATTTGCTTATTCAAGTAACTTTAAAGTAACTATAGGATAATGCTTCCCTTAGTCTGGTATTTAGGCATCTCTACAATCTGGTCAGTTTATTTTCCATATATGCTATACTGCTCACAGTGTCTCAACAGCTTGTGGTTCCAAACTAAGGTCATACTGACAGAGCTGAAGTTTTTCAGATCAAGTGTTCCCTCCTATACCTATCAAAAAAAAAGTGTCCTCAACCTTCATCTGAGATTCCTTTCCTCATCTAGAAGAGCTCAGGATTTCCTCTGGGTAGAAGATGGTATCACCTAAAATAGACAGCTTTTAATCGTGGTTAAAAGCCTGAATTTGGAATTATATATATGAGTAGAATTATTCAGCTGTACTAAATTCTTATGTGACTTATGCAGGCATATTCTTATATTCTTTCTCTTATGGGGTCATCGCTATAATTAAATAATATAACATGGGTGACACCTAATTATGTTTTTGGTACATAGAAAGTACACGGTATGTACTAGTTATATTTTCCAATACTTCAAGGTTGAGTTTAAGCTATTTATTGTCCATTAATTCTTTTCTGTGCACTCTTTAATTATTTATTTGATAAATTACCTCCTTAAGATTTATTTGCTTACTTTTAATTTTATCATATATAGTTTTCAAGAGCACCTTTTATTCTTTGCATGCTACATTTTACAGCATTATAACATCCTTTTCTTGATGCCGAATGTGTAATAGACTCTCTGAGGCTATTAGTTGTAGATTTTAAATAAAAATGTGATGAAAATTTTGCAGAAAAGTAATTGCCAATTCTCTTTTTTGAATGCACAATGCTCCATTCCAGGTTATTTTAGAGACGAGAGAAAAAAGGGAAGCAGTACAAGATACAGACTTTTTTTTCATTGCAATAAAACTTATAGTTAAGAAAATGCATAGATTTTAAGCATATAGTCTAGTTAGTTTTGAAAAAGCTAAACATTTATATAACCACTACTGTAAAATAGAAAATATATTCATCACTCTAGAAAGTTCTTTCATCCCTTGCTTGTCAATCATCTCTGCACAGGGGTAACTACTATGCTGATTTTCATCTTCATACCTGAATCCTGTAAACTTAGGTTTGTTTTTCCTCCAGTTCATCAAGTCAGTTGCCACTTTTGCCTTGTGCTTTATAGGTTTCAAACTTTTACTGCTATCACATCCTACCTTGTTCTTTTTTCTTTTAATTTGTCTCTTTAAATAATCATTCTAGTGTCATTTTGTGAGATTTTAGAATGAAGCAGAAGTAACGATGTGGTTAATCTTACATTTTAATGCACTTTTCAATATAATGTCATATTTTTAGATTATTATATTTATTTAATTATTGAACCATTAATCTTATACTTAATTAAATGAATGAATTTAACCGCTTCTTGTTCCAACATCATGTTTCTTTTGAGTAACTGAATGAATATTTTAGGCTTCTTTACAGGCATTACTTTTATACTCTAATCCTTTTGTGTCAGCCACAAATAATTAGCCTTGACATTGTTCTTTTACCTATAATCTTTTTTTTGTTTTTTTTTTGAGACGGAGTCTCGCTCTGTCGCCCAGGCTGGAGTGCGGTGGCGCCATCTCGGCTCACTGCAAGCTCCGCCTCCCGGGTTCACGCCATTCTCCTGCCTCCCGAGTAGCTGGTACTACAGGCGCCCGCCACCACGCCCGGCTAATTTTTTCAGTAGAGACGGGGTTTCACTGTGTTAGCCAGGATGGTCTCAATCTCCTGACTTCGTGATCCGACCGCCTCGGCCTCCCAAAGTGCTGGGATTACAGGCGTGAGCCACTGCGCCCAGCCTACCTATAACCTTTTAAAAAATGTTGAATATTATTCAACATCCGTACTTATTAATATTTGATAATATTTTTCCTGATGGATAGTTATTTATTGATATGAGTAAAACGAAACCCCTCTGCATATAGCTGTTGGCTGACCTTGAATATATTACTGCATGATAAAATGGGTTGTAACATATCACCACATTTTTCCTAAGCATGGCCATATTTTCTCAATCCTCATAAACCAAACCAGTAAATATATTAAAATTTTATAGCCATGGATAAATATGTCCGCGAAGATAACCTGATTGTAATTTCTTAAATCAGAAGAACTGTGTGACTCTTTTATCACTTTTAATATACAGATATTTTACAAATGCTTTAATTATTATGTATGTTTTTGGATTCAATTTTTACAAATACTTAGTCTTGCTTTGTAGATTAAACACACTTTGGCTTATGGGTATTACAAATGCTCCAAGTTTAGATAGCTATTTACTGGCAGTCTAAATTATATTCCAGATCCCTCAGAATTGATCCAGTGATTTTTTTTTTTTTTAGTTTTTATTTCCTACTTTACCACATTGTTCACCTACAAGAACAGAGATCAGAGTTAGTAAAAAAAAAGAGAGATGGTCACCTGGTAGAACACTGCTCGTATTTCCTGAGCATACCACAGGGAAGCCTTACATTTTTATATCTCTGTGACTCTGAGACTGAATTTCAAAATGTAGTACAGTAGCATTTTTAAGTATAGAGGAATATTGCTATTTGGTCATAATTAGGAAGCTTTACTGAAATTGCCTGGAGAATAGAGGTTTCCTGCTTCAGAGACAAAGCCTTGAGGTTTACAGATCTTAATTTTTTATTTCTCATGCATTTCCCAGTATCTGTCTCCCTCCCCCATCTGATTAACATATTTGATGAAATGTAGTACACTGAGTCAGGCATTTGAAACGTAGAGACAATTTTAATGAAGTATAAGAAAATCTTGGAGGGTCAAATTTTCACAGACCACCCAGCACTTTGGGAGGCCGAGACGGCAGATCACGAGGTCAGGAGATCGAGACCATCCTGGCTAACACCGTGAAACCCCGTCTCTACTAAAAATACAAAAAATTAGCCGGGTGTGGTGGCGGGCGCCTGTAGTCCCAGCTACTCTGGAGGCTGAGGCAGGAGAATGGCATGAACCCAGGAGGCGGAGCTTGAAGTGAGCCAAGATCGCACCACTGCACTCCAGCCTGGGCGACAGAGCGAGACTCCATCTCAAAAAAAAAAAAAAAAATTCACAGACCAACACATGCAGTGAAGAATTCGCAGCCAACTTAAGAGCACCTGGAGGGAACACCACAGAAAGACTCCAAACAGCCCTCAGACAACAACCCTATCACGGATTTTTCTCCCCTCCCCTCCCCTCCCCTCCCCGTTCTCTTTTCCTTAGACACAAGATCTCACTCTGTCACCCAGACTGGAGTGTAGTGGGCATGATCATAGCTCAGCTCAGCCTTGAATTTCTAGGCTCAAGCGATCCTCTCATCTCAGCCTTCTGAGTAGCTGAGACCAGAGGCACACACCACAGTGCGTGATTAATTTTTAAATTTTTTATAGAGACAGTGTCTAATTATGCTGCCCAGGTTGGTGGACTTTCTTGACCTAGATGCAGTTGTTCAAAATAAGTTAACAGTGAGGAATATCAGAGCAGCCAATGTAGTACCATCTGCCAATGCTTGACACCAATAAACTAAAAATCAAATTAAGCCTCTGAAGCTCTGCTTGATCTAAACTTTGCCTTCTTTTTTTAAATTATTATTATACTTTAAGTTCTAGGGTACATATGCACAACGTGCAGGTTTGATACTTAGGGGTTTGATACATAGGTATACATGTGCCATGTTGGTTTGCTGCACCCATCAACTCATCATTTACATTAGGTATTTCTCCTAATGCTATCCCTCCCCAATCCCCCAACCCCCCAACAGGCCCTGGTGTGCGATGCTCCCAACCCTGAGTCCAAGTGATCTCACTGTTCAATTCCGACCTATGAGTGAGAACATGCAGTGTTTGGTTTTCTGTCCTTGTGATAGTTTGCTGAGAATGATGATTTCCAGCTTCATCCATGTCCCTGCGAAGGACATGAACTCATCCTTTTCAATGGCTGCATAGTATTCCACGGTGTATATGTGCCATAGTTTCTTAATCCAGTCTATCATTGATGGACATTTGGGTTGGTTCCAATCTTTGCTATTGTGAATAGTGTCACAATAAACATATGTGTGCATGAGTCTTTATAGTAGCATGATTTATAATCCTCTGGGTATATACCCAGTAATGGGATGGCTGGGTCAAATGGTAATTCTAGTTCTAGATCCTTGAGGAATCGCCACACTGTCTTCCACAATGGTTGAACTAATTTACACTCCCACCAACAGTGTAAAAGGATTCCTATTTCTCCACATCCTCTCCAGCACCTGTTGTTTCCTGACTTTTTAATGATTGCCATCCTAACTGGTGTGAGATGGTATCTCATTGTGGTTTTGATTTGCATTTCTCTGATGACCAGTGATGATGAGCATTTTTTCATTTGTCTGTTGGCTGCATAAATGTCTTCTTTTGAGAAGTGTCTGTTCATATCCTTTGCCCACTTTTTGATAGGGTTGTTTTTTTTCTTGTAAGTTTGTTTGAGTTCTTTGTAGATTCTGGATATTAGCCCTTTGTCAGATGGGCAGATTGCAAAAACTTTCTCCCATTCTGTAGACTTTGCCTTCTTGCTATTTGAATCTTACTTGTGCCCTCATCCCCAAACAAAGCCTTATTTTAGCCAACGAGAGCTTGTTCCCATAGACTCTGAGTAGGGTTCACCGGGCCTGTCATTTGTTAACAGAAATTCTAAGTATCTCTCCCAATGTTGGAAATTGGCTTTCCACTAGGGATTTTGTCTTTGAATGCTTCCTGTGCATTATTCTTGCTTAATTTGCTGAAATAATGTTACATAACAAAGAGATGACTTTAAGATGTTATTGATATATACATTTAGTATGTACCCATAAAAAGTAAATTTTTTTTTTTAAAAAAAGATGCTATTGAGTAAAGTCCTAAGAAATACCTCAATCTTGTTAGTTCATTCAGCAAGGTAGTAGAGGTGAAGAAAACAGATGTACAGAGGACAATGGCTTGGTTCCAAACATTTATGTAGAACCCAAGGAGAGAGGCCTAATCTCAGGTAAAAAAATATTTTAAATTGCTAGAAGCAGCCACAACCCTAATACAAATGTAGGCCAAATGGCTTTTTCTGTCCTTTTCTATGTGGAAAGCTCACAGAAAAGCCTAAGATCTTATCATACCACCCAACTAGAAAAATAGGAAAATAAAAGGAAGCTTGTTTAAACATCTAGGTCAGAACTAACATAGGCTTTCCACTCCAGATTTGTCAAGAATGTGTAAAAATTCTTAAGAAAAGCATCTCCATGCTCATCCTGCCTTGTTGCGTAGTAAAAAGTATTCAAAGTGAGAAAAAAAATTGAAGTT
Organism: Homo sapiens; assembly: GCF_000001405.40. Taxonomy (NCBI): domain Eukaryota; kingdom Metazoa; phylum Chordata; class Mammalia; order Primates; family Hominidae; genus Homo; species Homo sapiens. The sequence goes on from NC_000005.10 coordinate 97,951,065, forward strand.
TTAGAAGTTTAAGTCTTGAAAGATTAAGAGAAATAGCTAAGTTTGACAGGTCCCAGAACACCTGATCTCATCACCAGATGAGATCTTCACTGTAGAAGGGGTGCTGGAGGAAGAAGGGTAGGATGTCAAAAAGCTGAGAGTGGATCCTCCGCTGTTTCAGATCTCCAGAATGGTGGACGGGAACATAACTTAAAAGAGAACATGACAGTTCTATTGCAGGCAATGATCATTAACCTTCTAATAAACATAGTGAAAGTCTTTACTTTCTAGTAGAGTAATAAACAAAAGCTCCTCCCCATACACACACCCCTTTCAACAAAAGAAAAAAAAAAAAAAAAAAGAAGAATTGAACCATGGCAAGGTTTCACCACATTTGGAATAGAACCAGGGACAGGAAGTAGAACTTTCTTTTCTTCTCTTTTCTTTATTAGGTTCAGGTGTACATGTGCAGGTTTGTTACATAGGTAAACTTGTGTCATGGGGATTTGCTGTACAAATTATCTTATCACGAAGGCACTAAGCCTGTTAACCAACAGTTGTTTTTTTTTTTCTGATCCTCTCCCTTCTCCCACCCTCCACCTTCCAATAAGTCCCAGTGTTTGTTATTTCCCTCTTTGTATGTGTTTTCATCATTTAGCTCCCAGTTATAAGTGAGAACATGTCCTATTTAGTTTTTTTGTTCCTGCATTCGTTTGCTAAAAAAGATGGTCTCCATCCATGTCCCTGCAAAGGACATGATCTTGTTCTTTTTTATGACTGCATAGTATTCCATAGTGTATAAGTACTATGTTTTCTTTATCTAGTCCACTGATGATGGGCATTTAGGTTGATGTCACATCTTTCCTATTGTGAATAGTTCTGCAGTAAACATAGGCATGCATGTTTCTTTATAGTAGAATGATTTATATTATTTTGGGTATATACTCAGTAATGGGATTGCTGGGTGGATGGTAGTTCTGTTTTTAGCTTTTGGAGGAATTGCCATTGTTTTCCACAGTGGCTGAACAAATTTATACTCCCATGAACAGGGAATATGTGTAAGGGTTCCCTTTTCTCCACAACCTCAGCATTATGTTATTTTTTTGACTTTTTATTAGTAACCACTCTGACTGGTGTGAGATGGTATCTCATTGTGGTTTTGATTTGCATTTCTCTAGTGATCAATGATATTGAGCTTTTTTAAATATCCTTGTTGGCCACATATATGTTTTCTTTTGAAAAGTGTTTGTTTATGTCTAAAGCTTTCTTTAACTAATATTTACAGTGATTTTGACTCTTTTTGAAGGCCCTTTAATCCTATCACTATTAAAATGTTAGAAAAATTTTTCTTTCTGTAAATTTTTTTCTTCTGGAAATAATACATCCAGTCTCTGATTGATACTGCTTTCCATTGTTTCTCATGTGTTTCATTTCCAATTATCACATTATTTTTGTTTTGTCTCCATTTTTTCATATGTCTTTGGTGATGTAAAGTTCATAGAATGATCACATTTACAATTTATGGTAATATTTTGTTAGTGTAGTCACAAACAGCATGGGTTATGCTAATTCACATTTAAATTTGGTGAAAGGTCCCCCACCTAAAGGTGGATATAAAAACACACACAGAACAACTTGCAGCTTGCGTAATTTTGATGACCCATTACCTTGAGGACAAACATCAGGATTCCTGGAGAGGTCGGCAATAGGAATGAAAATGTCTAATTACCTTCTCTCTGATACCAGCTAAAAGGATCATTACAATGTAAAAATATTGCATCAGTCATATTAGTGTTGATAACTAGGGATTAGTGCTAAAATTATAATTTCTAGCATTATTGGAGATACAGACTTTATTAAATACAAAAAGTAATTTACATGGCTGGCATTCTTCTTGGAGGCCAGGTGAAACCAGTCCTCAGTTCAGTGCAATGAAGTCCAGTTCCAGGCCAGCTAAGAATCAATATATAAGGAAGAAAGATATTTTGAGAAAAACTTAATAAATCCTTTCAACAAAATTTGGAATTGGCACTATTCAAATTCTAAAAAAAAAAACCCTGACTAAACCCAAGCAGGATTATTTAAATCAAATATCCTGGATACCCAATAATGGTAAACCCCCAAAATTTCATTTTGTTTGCTGCTGCAGGTGCACAGGAAGATACCCAGTTATACTTTGCTTTGGCTTGCTGGATTTGTTGTTATGAGCTAAGGCTTCTAGGATCCAAAACTGCAACAGGTACACCTAATTGTAATTCAAATGTGTAAATCAAAGATAGTTAGATCACCAATTTTTTCATTGTTCTGCAAAGAACCTCTGAATTTCTCAACTCTATTGTGGACCGAATCCTCTCTGACACCCACTAAGGAAAACACAATTAAATTACAAAGTTACCGTATTTCACCAACATAATTACCACCACTAAGACTTAGTTTTGTTTTGTTTTTTTTTTGCTAGATTTGTTTTCTCACTTAGTTTTATTTTACTTTCCTTTTAGTATAGTCTTTTACTATTAATTAGAACTTGCAATGTGGTGGTATACTGTCCGAAAACAAAAGTCTTTTCTGGAAGAATTTCTTATTTCCAATAGGATTCTTTGCATTGGCAGGAAATATAGGTTACAATGAAAATCAGTTTTTGACGAATACATATGAAGGTTCTAATCTATACCAGGCTTTCTGCCAGGCCCTGAAGAAGTAACAGTGAACATGAGAGACATTGTGCCTGCTCTAATGACACTGCATCCACATGAAATTTATTTGCTTTTAGAATTTGACAGGCCATTATTTTGAAGCGAGCACATTTCAAGGTACAAAGACTGGATACCTTATCTCTGCCACTTACTAATGAGAGAACATAGAAACTTACCTATACTTTGCTTTGCTTTTGTCATCTATGAAATATGGATAATAATAGTGTTTGCTTCAAAGAGTTGTTCAGCGAATAGAATGAGATCATATATGTCTAGTGCTTAGAACAGTCTAACACATGCAAAAAGTTCAACTAATGTTAGTATTAATTTTTATTGAAACTTCATTAGTGTTATTTAGAAAATCAGGAATGGTTTAGAAATGTTCCTTCTGTGAATAAGGTAGAAGCGCTATTTGTTGAAAGCCTCACGGAACAGTCTTGCAGTTCTTCATACCACAAAGTCCATTGTAACACTTCCTTCAAGTACTGTATTAAAAGATGTATTTTCTGAACTTTTGACTATTTGGACATGTCCTGCTGTCTTTAAGTGTAAGAGACAATTTCAGTGACTCTAAAATTCTTGACTGCAGCAGCTGCTGTTGATGCCCACCCATATCCCTTCAGCAATTACATTTCTGGCACATCAACCAGGATTGTAGCTGTCAGCATCTGCATCTCTTTGCATGAGGACCTTCTCTGGCTGTGAGAGCCCACCCTGCTCATTATGCCTGTGTATGCAGCAAGTGAGAAGTGCCTTAAAAGTAACACTGCACAGAAGCAGCCCTCCACCAATGAGTGCTAGGAGTTGGTTTTATCCACCTCAGTCTCCTTTCCTCTTAGGCAGATGATATGGTTTGGCTGTGTGTCCCCACCCAAAACTCATGTTGAATTGTGATCCCGAGTGTTGGAAGTGGAGCCTGTTGGAAGGTGATTGGATCATGGGGTGGTTTCTAATGGCTTAGACACCATCCCTGTAGTGCTGTTCCATGATAGAGTTCTCACAAGATCTGGTTGTTTGAAAGTTTGTAGCATTTCCTCCTTCATTCTCTCTCTCTCTTTCTCTCTCTCTCTCTCTCTCCTGCTGGCCAGGTGAAGATGTGCCTTGTTTCCCCTTCAACTTCTGCCATAATTGTAAATATCCTGAGGCCTCCCTAGCCATGCCTCCTGTATAGCCTATAGAACTGTGAGTCAATTAAACCTCTTCTCTTCTTAAATTACCCAGTCACAGGTATGCCTTTATAGCAGTGTGACAATGAACTAATACAGAAAATTAGTATCAGAGAGAAGTGAAGCATTGCTATAGAGATACCTGAAAAATGTGGAAGCAACCTTGAAACTGGGTAAAAGGCAGAGGCTGGAACAGTTTGGAAGGCTCAGAAGACAGGAGGATGAGGGAAAGTTCGAAATTTCCTAAAGACTTATTAAATTATTGTAACCAAAATGGTGATAGTGATATGGACAATGAAGTCCAGGCTGAGGTGTTCTCAGATGGAGATGAGAAACTTATTGGAAACTGAAGTAAGGGTCACTTGGTCTATGTTTTTAGCAAAGAGACTAACCACATTGTGCCCTTGCCCAAGAGATCTGTGGAACTTTGAACTTGAGCATGATGATTTAAGGTATCTGGCAGAAGAAATTTCTAAGTAGCAAAGCATTCAAAATGTGGCCTGGCTGCCTATGCTCACCTGCATAAACAAAGAAATGACATGAAACTGGAACTTATATTTAACAGGGAAGTGGAGCATAAAAGTTTAGAAAATTTGCAGCCTAGAGATGTGGTAGAAAAGAAAAACCCATTTTCTGGGAAGGAATTCAAGCTGTCTATGGAAATGTGCATAAGTAAAGAGGAGTTGACTGTTAATAGCCAAGTTAATGGAGAAAATGTACCCAAGGCATTGCAGAGATCTTTGTAGCAGCCCCTCCCATCATAGACCTGAAGGCCTAGGAGGGAAAATTGGTTTCGTGAGCCTGACCTAAGGCCCCACCCACTGCTCTGTGCAGCCTGAGGACATGGTGTCCTGTATCCCAGCAGCTCCAGCTCTAGTCATGGCTAAAAGGGCCCCAGATACATCTCAGGCCACTGTTCCAGAGGGTGCAAGCCACAAGCCTTGGCAGATTCCATGTGGTGTGCAGCCTATGAGTACGTAGAAGGCAAGAGTTGAGGTTGGAAGCCTCCACCTAGATTTCAGAGAATGTATGGAAATGCCTGGATATCCAGTCAGAAGTCTGCTGAAGGGGCAGAGCCCTCATGGAGAACCTCTAGTAGGGAAGTGCAGAGGGGAAATGTGGGGTTTGAGCCCTCACATGAGTCCCCACTGGAGCACTGCCTAGTGGAGTTGTGAGAAGAAGGCCACTGTCTTCTAGAACCCCAAATGGTAGATCTACTGACAGCTTGCACTATGTGCCCATAAAAGCCACAGGTGCTTAACACCAGCCCGTGAAAGAAGCTGGGGAGGGGCTGTACTTTGCAGAGACACAGGGGCAGAGCTGCCCAAGGCCTTGGGAGCCCACCCCTTATATCATTGTGGCCTGGATGTAAGACAGAGTCAAAGGAGATGATTTTGGAGCTTTACAATTTAATGACTGCCCTGCTGGGTTTTGGACTTGCGTGGGGCCTGTAACCCCTTTACTAGCACTTCCCCCTTTGCGCTCTCTGTCTCCTGCTGGCCATGTAAATTTGTGCCTTGTTTCCCCTTCACCGTCTACCATGATTATAAGTTTCCCGAGGCCTCCCCAGCTATTCCTCCTGTTCAACCTGCAGAACTGTGAGTCAATTATACCGCTTTCCTTCATAAGTTCCCTAGACTCAAGTAGTTCTTTATAGCAGTGTGAGAATGGACTAATAAAGTGGTATACCTGTGAAGTGCATGTTTTACACCATTTCAGGGTACCCTGGAAAGATTGGCCTATAATAACCTGTGGAGAAAATTTGCTTGATAAGGCACACAACACCTTTCCATCTCAATTCTCTACTACTTATTGTTGTTTTTTTGGGGTTATCTCCGAAATAAACAACTTACACTCAATTCTTTTTCTCAGTGTTGCTATTTTGAAGTATCCAATGTAATTTCATCCTTTTACTTTAAACACTGTAAATCTGGTACCATTTTCATATAAAATCTAGAGTTGCAGAGAAGTCTGTGAAAAACTTCAATATTATTTTGTTGGAAATTACCTTTTTTTCTTTATTCTTACATTTAAAAAATTGTCAACATGTATATTGATATGGGTGCTTTTCCTTTGATATTTTCTGAAACTTTATGAATTATTTTAATCTGTATATTTAGATCTCTAATTATCACTAAGAATTTTCTCTATTAAACATCTTATTGTTTCTATTCCATTTGTTCCAGTCTCATTTTCAGAAATACCTATAATTTTGGCATAAATTATCTAGCCTGTATTTCTATTATTTCAGTCTAATTATTTGATATTCAATAAGTTTCTCCTTGTCTTTAAGGAGAGCTTGCTTGTCTTTCATGTAATTGATTCCATCTCCTACAATCTGTTTTGTTTTCACGACTTCCAATGCAGCATTTTGCTTTTAATTTCCGTGCAATTTTCTCCAGTATCACTCTTTTCATCTTAAAAGGAAGTCTTTTATCTGTACCTATGCATTAGGCATATCTGCTCCTGTTACCTAGAGATTACAACATTTAGCATCTTATTAAGATAAAAGTTGTTTTTCCAAAACTTTTTAGATCTTTTTAGAGATCATTTTTTCTGAGTTCAATTAGAAACTTCCTTGAACTGTACTGTTTTCCAGTATCTCAAAAAGCATTCAAGTGAAATCTATCCTGAATTTACAGATTGTCACATGGTAGTTTGTGCATTGCCTTTTTCCCTCTCTGCCCACTTAGGTGCTGGTGAAATCTCTCCTCTGTTCTATAGATGAATGGTGTGTAAGTAGGTATGTCTTCCATACTCATTCAAAGTGGGTATGACTCTTAGTTTTGTTTCAGAGGCCAGCCTTTATCCTCTGTGGCTCATCTTACCTGAAATGGAAATGCAATAGAACTGCATTGTTTGGCTCTCTGATATTCAGAACATCTGAAATACATGGCCATAATTCTTATATGTATGCATACATATGCATTTATGTTTTCTTGTCTTACTTGAAAAAATGATTTAAAACAATCCAATCCTAACTGTACATTCTAACAGGTCTCTTTCTTTGCCCAATTCTACTTAAAGTACTTTAATTTGATACCATACTTTTAGTTTAAAATATCGTTCTCGGGCTTCCTTCTTCTTTCTGTGTTGTTTTTATTTTACTTTTCTTTTATTTCCTGGAAGTGCAATTTCTAATCGATGCAGATACAGGTGAACACGTGAGTTCGTTGGTATATGCAAAGGCAGCCATACAGTAAAAGGATCCCTGTTCAATGTTCTGATTGGTGGAAATTTCAAATTCCTGAAACAGAGTCAACAAACATGTATACTAACTATTCTTTTTTGGCTTAATAAAATGATGAGCAGCCAATTATAATTTTTATTTCAGTATGTCACCCTTTATAATAGAAATTATATGCATATTTTTGAAATATTGATTGTGATATTATCATATTATGCTTTCTTTTGTCTTCCTCCTTGTTGTCATAGTACTTTAATTAAGAGAAATTTTAGGATGCCACATTAGATGATGCCAACCACCCTTAAGCTGGAAGTTGGAACATTGAGCTTTCTGAAGGGAAAACTTGCAGTAAGAATAATGATGGTCTGGGTTCAGAAAGAAATGAATTGAAATCCTGACTCAAATATTTAACATCTCTGTGAATGTGAGCAAGTTGTTTCACTCCCAGAGCCCCAATTTCCTCATGAGAAAGGGCAGTAATAATGTTTATCACAAAAAGCTGTTGAGAAGGCTAAATGAGAGTGTTATGCAAAGTGCTTAGTACAGTGTCTGACACAAAAGCATTCAATGAACATGGCTACCATTTAGCCATGAGTTGGTCTGCTTCTGAGATGCCTTCTCCTGGATGGCGTGAAAGTAACTCAAATAACCTATCCCAAATCAAATGTATCATCAACTCCCCTATCCCTGCCCTATTTCTCTTCCAGATTTTCCTTCAATGTGCATATTAGATAAAAATCCAGAAAATTAGAGAAGTGGTTTGTCACTCCTTGTCTATACTTTCCCATCAATGCTATGTCAAACTACACAGGGATATAACGTTTCATTCTAATCATGTAATCTCACTGAAGTTTAATTTTCCTATCTGTGAAAAAAGGGCAAGAACAGATGATTTTTGAGGTCCTTCTCCTCTCAAAAATTATGGGGTTTTAAGTTAAAATGAGGTGTTTTTTTTTTTTTTTAAAGATTATTGCTTGATGTTTTGTGTGGAGAGGTAAAGGAAGGGGAATAAATCTAGCAGATCTTCGACACTCTTAGGAATGTCCTAGATAATCACTTTTTATTCCTTGCCATTTTATTTTTGGGGGATCATTTATTTGATACTGGATGACATGCTACTTTATATTAATATTTTCATATATGTAAACCTCTTTTTGCTAATTAGATTGTGAGCCCCAAGATGGGCAAGACCATGACTTACATTTCTTTCTTTGTTGCCAGCAAAGTAATATGACCATAGAAGATTCTCAGTAAATATTTGTAGAATAAATGAAAGAATAAATATATAGAATTAACAGTCCCTGCAGGGAGAGATGCATCTTAAATTATTTTATTGTATACATCTTTTTATGGGCAGATATTTTCTTTTTTCTTAGTAAAATTCCTGGGAACAGAATTGCTAGGTCACAAGACGGATTCACTATAATCGATTGCCAAAGCTTTTTCCAAAGGTGTTGTGTCATTTATACTTCCACCAAATGTGTGAGAGTTCCAGTTGTTCCACATCTTCATCTACATTTGATTTTGTCAGATTTTTAAATTTATGATAGTAGGGTGTGTTTGTGTGTGTGTGTTATCTCATTGTCATTTGTTAAAGTCTTTTGCCTATTTTTATTGAATTGTCCTTTCATTAATTTATAGTAACAAAACATATTTTATTACTACATGTTATGCCATATATAAAGTATATCTAGCATGATTACTATATAGATATAATATAGAGAGTTCCTTATATATTCTGACTATAAATCCTTTGTAAGATGTATTTAATACTTTATCCCAATTTGTAGCATACCTATTTATTTTATTAATGCTCGTCTGTTAAGCAGTAAAGTTTTAAATTTTGACTAAGCATAATTTATTATTATTATATTCTTTTATGATTCTTGCTTTCTGTGTTCTATGTCTGCCTACTCCTAGGTAATGAACACTTTCTTCTAGAAGCTTTATAGATTTAGCTCTTATGCTTAAGTCTATGATTCAACTCAAATTAATTTTTGTATTTGGTGTGAGGTATGGGTTAAGGCTTTTTCTCCCCCATATGGATATCCAGTTGTTTCAGTGACATTCATTAAAATAATATTCCTTTACTCCATTGAATTGCTTTGTGAAAAATTAATTTTAAGTATGAATTAACTTGTTTAAGCATTTTCTTTCTTAATAGATTATTTTAATAGAAGAGTATTAATTGCTGAGTCAAATTCACAATACAGGACTATTCTTATAATAAATTTTAAAGTTATCATTTGTAGCTAAAATAGTTTTAATAAAAAGATTTACATTGAAGGCCTGCTTATATTTGAGTGAGGCCACATGAGAGATAATGGAATGGACAAATACAATGGAAAGGAACGGCAAGAGGTATAAATGAGCCATAAGATGCCATGGTCAAAGTAGGTAGAGAGATAAGGAAACAGAGAAGGGGGAAGGAAATGTAGACCACACACATATAATACTGAAGAACATGGAAGACAATTTTAAATTTTTGGTTAAGAAAAATAAATTTTAAGATTTTTGAAATCTACCTATTCCTAAAGATTTAGTTTTATACCTTATAGTTCTTTAACTGGACTCAGTTTGACAGAGGGACAAATGAACACAAATTGTAGTCATGAAATGTTGCATAAGCCCCAATTTACTGTCTGTCACACTTTTCCAGTTCATTGCTTCTGCTGACAAAAATATAAATTTTTCCCCCAGGGATGAACAGATGGAGATCACTATTTCACCTTGAAATAACTTTTCCACTTACCTATACACAGTCTTTATTTGAGAGAAAACTATCTGCTGGGTTGGGTTTGCTGGAAAATTTAAGGCTGCAGTAGTTGTATAGGAGAGTACTTATCATAAATCATGATGGAATATTGGTTAATCAGCTATATAACTGACTCACTGTCTTCTTGCCTGGAGGTTTCTTGTCCTATCCCATCTTCTATATGTATTCTAAGATTCTGCCCAATGCTGTGGATTGCAGTTAAGCAAGCATGCAGTGCTGACAGTCAGCAGGGTCATTTCCCATCTATTTGATCCTCACATTCTCTAGATATGCTCTAAATTAATGACAAATTGATAATCAGAAAATGCTTACATGAAGCATATACTGCACTGATCTTTTCAGAGAAAAAGTTGCCTCCTTAAAAAACATCCACTGTTGGCAGGTAGAGAGTTTATGTAAAAAATATATTGGGCATCTCTTGGAGTGGCTTGTCAATTTAGATCCTCTTCTCTTTCACAGTGACAGTCTTTTTATATTTAATTTTTTGTCAAAACTAATATTTTTATTTGAAAATAAAATCCTTAATATGACATGCAGAATTCCCACCAAGCTTGCCTTTTTTGAGGCAACAAAATAGACTTCATATTATCAATAGAAGAGAAATGTAAACATAGGCCAGTTTATAAGCCGAAAAACTTAATTTTGCTTATATTATTATGGTTAAATATATCATCTTGGGAATAAATTTTTTCTTCTTAAAGTGGTGCTTGATTACACTAATTTTAAATGACTTTTTTGGACATGCAGCTGTATGAGTTAAATACTGCATATATAGTAGTAGCATGCTACTATAAAGTAGCAGAAAAAATTTTAGCCTGAATTTTATTTTGGAACAAAAGAAAAGTAAAATAATGAATTTCTGTTTTCTCCTATAGGATAGAATTCAGCATATTTAAGTACTTTATGATATTAATTTTTCACCTCATCTCAGGAGAAGGAATTGACTTTATGATCTATAAAATACAAAACAAGGACCTTAGGAGATTTTTTAAATAATAATATTATTAACCACTATATTTTATGATTTTATTTACAGATTTTTTTATATATATAGGATGCTGTTTTGTAAATGGACTGAGGGGAGAGGTAAGAATTCCTGGCTTTGAAAATTACTAGTGCTCTGGGGAATTGTTAAAGTTACAAGCTAACTAAGAGGAATATTTTCTATCTTTTCTAACCATAGCTGCAGGTCTCTTCATTTAAAAATAAGCCTTGGTTTGTTTTTAATTCCAAAACCAACATCTGCATATCAAATAAGCAAAAGTGATCATCTGTGGGTGGGCCTTCAACCACGATTTAACAAAGGCTTTGACACAAGCATTAAGGGTCTCCTGCCTTACTCTGCTTCAGCTTAAGCCAATGAGGGGGACACACAGATGTAGAATTAACTTCCTCCCCTTTCTTCTCTCCTTCCCCTGCTTTGTGCAATAAATTAGATTTTGTGGTAATTTTGTGCCATTGGAAACTAGTAGATTCTTACGATTCATGCAACAATCTGAAGATAATTTTTTATGGAGCTGATCTTGTTCTCTTTCTCTTAATTTAAAGCCTTCTTTCTCTTTCCCGTAAAGTACTGAAAAGTATGTGGTAAGCTGGTATTGTGCGTTTACTATTCAGCAAGATGCAAAAAATATAAAAATATTATTTTACATATTTTAAAAATTTTACTTAGAATTACTCTACAATGTAAAGGATTAAACCTCTGATTGTTCATATTACTTTTTCAGGGACACAAAGGATACAGCCAGGATTAGGAATCAAGTAGCTCAGTTTCTATCTAGTCTGCAGCTTTATGTATGGTACACACCTTTGCCTTGAAATCAGTTGATAAAATTTTCTTTAGAGACAGGAAATATATTCAATAAATAGATAATATGATATGCAGTTTACTGTCAGAAAGAGTGATAATAGACTTCAATTCTATAAATAAGCCCTCCCAAAATTTTATAACATGGACTAATAACTTCACAAAGAGTTGCCAGTAGTTATTCTAATTTTGGACATTGGAAAATCTAGGTTAGAGTTAAAACTAGTTCCTTTACTGCTACACTTGACAAAACTCTGTACTAATCTACATTCCCAGGAACAATATAAAAGAATTTCACTTACTCCACATTCAGGCCAATACATGGTATTGTCTATTTTTTTTTTTTTTTTTTTTTTTTTTTTTTTTAGCCATTCTAATGGGTACATGTTGGTGCCTCCTTAAGGTTTTTAATTTTTATTTTCCTGATAACTAGTAATGTTGAGCATTTTCATGTTATCATTTATTCACTTATCTTCTTTGATGAAATGTCTGCTGAAATAATGTTTTAAGTTTGAATTGAGTTTTTAAAATTAGTATTAAATTATTCTTTGTATATTTTAAATACGACTCATTTGTCAGATGTCTATATTTTCTTCGTCTGTGGTTTACCATTTTATTTATTTTTATTTATTTTTTAAATTTTATTTATTTGTTTATTTTTGAGATGGAGTTTCGCTTTTGTTGCCCAAGCTGGGGTGCAATGCGTAATCTTGGTTCACTGCAACCTCTGCCTCCCAGGTTCAAGCAGTTCTCCTGCCTCAGCCTTCTGAATAGCTGGGATTACATACAGTCACACCACCAGGCCCAGCTAATTTTTTGTATTTTTAGTACAAATAGAGTTTCTCCATGTTAGCCAGGGTGGTCTCAAACTCCTGACCTCAGGTGATCCACCTGCCTTGGCCTCCCAAAGTGCTGGGATTACAGGTGTGAGCTACTGTACCCGGCTACCGTTTTATTTTTTTAATGGTATCTTTACAAGAGCAAAACGTTTAAATTTTAATTAAATCTAACATTTATTTGTGGTCTTCACTTTTTAGTGTGTTCTATATAAAAAAAAATATCTTTCCCAAGGTCAAAAAGATTTTTCTTCTGTTTACTTCTAGAAGCTGTATATTATTTGCTTTGCTGCCTAGCCAATGATCTGGCTCAAGTTAGTTTTTGCTTATGGTATAAGGTAGTGGTCTATGCTCATTTCGTTATCCCCATATGGATGTTTGTTATTTCAGCATAATTTAGTGTAAAAACTATAAATCACCATTTAATTACCTTGGCACCTTTGTTAAAAATCAATTTACTATATTAATCTGATTTTATTGCTTTTGCATACATTATGTCTATCTGTAAAACAATATTACACTATCTTTATTATGGTCATTTTCTAGTATGTTGCTATAGACTGAAGGTTTGTGTCCCCCCAAAATTCATATGTTGAAACCTAATTCCCAATATGATGGTACTAGAAGGTGAGCCTTTGGGTGGTGATGAGGTCATGAAGGCAGAACTCTCATGGATGGGATTACTGTCCTTACAGAAGAGGCTTGAAAGTCCCTTTGACCACGTGAGGACACAAGGAGAAGATAGTTGTCTGTACTAGGAAGCAGGTCCTCAAAAGACAGAATTTGCTGGTCTTGGTCTGCCCAGCTTCCAAAACTGAGAGAAATAAGTTTCTGTTGTTTATAAGCCATCTAGTCTATGATCTTTTGTTACAGCATCCTGAATGGATGAAGGTATATGTCTTGAAATTAGGCAGGATATGTCTTCTAACTGTTTCCAAATTATTTTGACTATCTTAGGTCTCTTGCATTTCCATATAAATTCTGGAATCAGTTTGTCAATTCCTACAAAGAGCTTACTGGTTTTAGTTCCTATTGCTTAGAATCTATAGTTGGATTTGTCAAAAACTGATGGCTTTACATAACTGAGTGTGTAGATTCATGAACATGGTACATCTTTCCACTTAGGTCTTATTTAATTTCTCTTATTGATAGTTTATTGTTTTTGGTGTAGAAATTTTAAAAAATATAATTTACTTCATTTCTATTACATGTTTTGAGATTCTATGGTAAATATATTTAATATTCATATTTTATATTTTAACTCCTAGTAAATGGAAATATACTTAATATTGACTTTAAATCCTATGACCTTGCTAAACACAGTTATTAGTTCTAGTAGAGTTTCTTCTCTATAATCCCTAGAATTCTCTGCATACATATTCATGTCATCTGAGAATAATTTTTTTTATTTCCAGGCTTATTGCACTACCCAAGATATCCCATAAAATTTTAAATCTAAGTAGTGAGCATGGACATCCTTGTCTAGTTTCTTATCTTAAGGAGAAAGCATTCAGTAGTAAAAGCATTCACAAGTAAATGTGTTATCTGTAGGTTTTCATAGATATTATTATCAAGTTAAGGATATTGACTCTATTACTATAATACTATTACAGTCCATGTCTAGATCACTATATTTATCTATCTATAGCAATTAGTTTAATAAGTACTGTCTTTGAGGACACTCATTTTGAGAGTCACAGGACAATCTCTTGATAAACATTGTACTGCCTTTTCAATAAAACTCCTATGTTGCATTTTTAATATATATTTTATACAATTATTTCTTTTAAGTTATTTCTCCCTCATCCTTTACATATGTAGGTGATTTCCATTTGCATTCTCTTGCATGTACTGTTTATTTTATTTCTGTATTTAATTTTTGGCTAAATTTTTTCTCTCATGGTAGACATAAGTAACACAAGAGGTCATAATCTTATCAATTATATTTTTTATGTGAAAACTTACTTATTTACATGAGTATAAAGTCTTTTAAACTTGAATGCTGTTGTGTAATTATAAAACATTATTAAAAATTCACTTGAAATATACAAAATTGAAAGAAAGTCAGTAACTTTCTACTAGCTTTATTGTCTTCACATTCAGATTAAAATTTTTCTTACCGTGTGGTAAAACATTTAAATTGGTTTTTGATAAATTATTATTCCAAATATTACAAAAGTTTAGTCTATTAGGCTGACTATAATGCATGCCAAGGTAATTTTGTCTAGAATGTTCAGTCCCTTTTAGCATTTTCTCTTTATTTTCTATATTTATTGTATCATTTATAGTAAAGCATCTTTATGCCAAGGCTCAGATGTCACTAAATAGTGATCCTCTTTTTTGTTTTAAAGACAGGGTCTCACACTGTTGCTCAGGCTGGTCTTAAACTCCTGGCCTCAAGCAATCCTCCAACTTGTCTCCCAAAGTACTGAAATTACAGTGTAAGCCACCATGCCTGGTCCCCCACCCACCTTTTTTAAACAGCATAACTAATTTCAGGAAGGCTTTAAAACTTTTGTAATTCATATGACTTGTATTTTTTCTCAACATAATCAGATAAAGAAACGAAAAAGAAAAATGTCAAACTTTTTCACTTCCTCAGTTCACAATTCTCTCTTTTTTCTACAATGATTTATTTTTAAAAATGATAAAATTTATTAGCTTAGCTGTTAATTTAATAAACACATTAAATAAGAACCAAAAATAATGTATTTATATAACCTTATGTTTCCTCAGGAATAAGTCAATACTGAAAAACTTATCTACAGAATTTTGAAGTTTTACCCCTTGGTCCCAATATTCATCATTTCACATGGTACCTTAAATATGCTTTTGAGCACATGAATTCATTCATAAAAGAATGTTCAGTTTTCAACTTTTATTCCACCTTTTTTTTATTTCATTACCTAAGAAATAACTGTTTATTTTAATCTGCAGGGGATAGTACAGTAGTAAGCATGCAGGCACCAAGCATGCAGACTATCTGATTCAAACCTCTACTTCTTCACAAATTAACTACACATTCTTGGCATATGTATTTAATTCATTTATACATATACTTTATAACCATATCTCATCCAATTCATAATGTAGTTGCTAAGATCAAATAATGTTTTTTTGATAAAGTGAATACCATAGTGCCTTGTACAAAGAGCACAGTAATTACTGCCTTAACCTTATATCTCATATACGAAGAACAGATCAACATAAAACTAGACCAACGTTAAAAATACCCTTTTAAACATTTTATTGTATACTGTACGTATGTTTCATATGCAAATATATATTAACAGAAACTGTCATATAACACATCTTTGTACATTACAAGTTATTGTGAACAACTGGCCAGGTAACAAGCATTATTTTTAATGACATCTGCATTCCAACATTTTTTAAAATTTATCTTTGAACATTGAGGTTGTTTCAATGTACAATTAAATACTTCTAAATATAACCTAACTTAAAAATGTATGATAAACACAATATCATCCATTTGTGGACATAAGATGAATATATATTTTGAAACAATTAATGGGCTTATAGAAAAACAGAGAAAGTCCTGTTTATTATTATTCATACTACTCACCAAAAAGACTTCTGTTTTGCCTTCAGTGTTTCCTATTACAAACCCTAGGATGAATGTTGATGAAGGCAGTCAATTCTTCATCCATTCTAGGACCTGATATTTCAGTAATTACATTAAAGAAAAGCATCAGCAATACTAAATGACCTTGATTATACTGAATGCGAGACGAATGATTAAAAGTCTGGATGAGGCATTAATTTTCTACCTAATTGTTGTATAATTTCAAATGACTATTCTATTTATTTCCCCCTCTGGGTAAAGTTATTTTGGATGAAATAAAAATTACATTGGAATAATTGGCAAAGATCATGGATAGAAACACTGTTACTCAGCAAGGGACCTAGCTGAACAGCCTTGTCAAAGTAGGTTAGGAAATTTCTGATGACTATAGCCAGTGTGGCCACATTTTTAAAGATAGCAATCCATTATCACTTCTCTTCTGCCACGTGAAAAAAGAAGTCAGCCCTCAGAATCTGATTTTCTCCTGGGGTGACGTGGCACTGCTCAGAAAGCAATGAAACATCTCTTTCCTAAAATATGAACTATCGGATGACAAACTCTAAACCCAAATCTTGTTGTTTTGTTCCTCATCCATTGTGTATCTAAGGATATAGAAAACTTAAATAATTTTTATTCTCCTATATTTGAATTTAATTTTATTTTGATTATGTCAGTAGTAAAAACAAAATCAGCTGCAATTATTTTCTAAATGATGTAATATGCCCGACGGATGCCAAAAAGGGGTGTATGGTATATATATCATAGTTTTATAGTTTTATATGTATATAGTGGTTTATATAATAGTATTGATATATTATGTATATGTTTTATATATATGTAGTTACTTATAGGTATGTAGTTACATAGAGAGAAGATATAACACTTTTTTGTTGGTATGCGAAGAGCCTATGAGTATAAGAACAGTTGTAAAAAAGACTCTTTGGTAACGGGAAATTGGTAAGTCTCAGTTTGGTGATATTATCATTTATTTAAATCAGCAAAAATCTTAAAATTCATTGTGGTAAAATTACTCAAGGGACTAAACTCAGAAGAGAATTTGCTTTCTTAGTGTAGAAATTCACTCAAAGAAAGATGACTAGTTTTCTTTTAGTTCTTCTAGAAACAGATTCTTAAAAATGAATTCATAGGATGAATTTCAATTCCTAATATTATACTTTTGCAGAAAAAAGCCTTATAAAAAGGCTTTATTTTGAAAAAAATCTTAGAATATTTTCAGTTTATCAAATAAATTTAGTGATTATGGCAGAGACAGTCATTACTCATTGGCCATCCATATGCAATCCACATTTCCTTCATCGTTGGAACTAATATTGACCAATGGATTGTGAGTGGAAATAAGAAGTATGACTTGAAACAATTAAGAACCAGTGCGTGACTCTCCAACTTCCCTCTGCTTTGTCATTGAAACCAATGAGGCAATGGAGCAGCTACAAGATACTGTAGTTTCTGACAACTTGGGTCACTGAGTAGTTGTGTAGAAGAGGGATTTTCCCCAGTAATTCACATGGAATGTGTCCTTTGAGCAAGAAAGAAACTACTTGCTGTAATAAGTCACTGAGATTTCAGGATTATTCTATTACTGCAGCATAAACTGGGCTATCCAAATTAATCCAGTGAATTAAACTTAAAAAATATGATATGCAGATCAAGTTTCCTTGGTAGCAAATATGGTTTTAAAATGGAAAAACAAAGTAAATGGCCAAGAGCATCTTAATTCTTGGCAAAATGTGAACTCTGTTGAAGAAATTGATAGAATTGTCATCCCATTTCCAACAACTAAGCTGATGCATTTTTAGAGCCCCTATGAAATAAGTTTTCTTTATCTAAGAGGCTTTGCTGCTCTCAGAGCAATTGACGCAGACAACTTATGTGGCACAGCAGACAAAAATATCTATGAGTCCAGGGTAAAGGTTTTCAAATAGCTCTGTATGACTATTCTTCTGCTTTTCTACTCTCTTTCTCAAGTGGAAAGTATTAATGCTTATCTCATATATGTTCATATGTTGTTAGGGTTGCTTAAATAAAATGTTTTAGTTATGACTTCTGACCACCCCACAGAGGGAACAAAACAGCCTAAAAATGTACTATGTGTATGTAAGAAATTATATTTTTTCATTGCCTGTACATACAGCACTGACACATGGATATACATACATATAGGACACTAGAATGTGAAGGCATATGGTGAATATTTAAGAAACTAAGACCTAGCATTTATGGAATTCTCATATTAGTATTGGAGAAAATTGGTCTTATCCTACTGTAATGCATTATATCTTTTTTACTTTTGAATATTGAAATTAAAATGTATTCACAACGGCATCTGACTCAAATTCATACCTATACATTTCTGATCGTAGGCCTCTTGATATGAAAACAAACATTCTATATGTGAAGAATAATTTTCTGATAACTTTCGAAGCAATTTCCTACTTATTTGCAAATACAGTGATGAATCTTTGGCAAATTTTATGCAAGAAGTTACACATATACACATATCACCTGTCTCCTGTTGCCCTACCCACCTTCAAAAAATCTTTAAAAAAAAATCAAAAACAACCAAAGACAAAACCAACTTAACAACAGTGACTTTCAGGTAGAATGAAGAATTAAATAACAATTTATAATTTCTCTAGTTTAGATACTGTATTAAAGTCGGGGTCCTTTTTACATCCCAAGCAGAAACTTAAACATTCTGTGAATTCATTAGCATAATTTTATCTGAAATATCCATCCCATTCTTTGGATCTCCTACTGCCTTCAAGTTCTCCTCTTCTCTCTTTTGAATTTTGAATAGTTATAATGAAAATAACAGTAATTCTTCACTTTTTCCTTCTTATTTGATTGGAATCTATTTTTTGTATTAGGTTTATTTCTAATTCTAATTTTTGTCCTGACTCATTGTTTAACTTTTAAAAAAACTTCCTTCTAATTTATGTTATCTTGTTGTATGACATATATCACTGAACCCATCTTAAATCCTTTTGGGAGTAGTGAAGATGAAAAATAAAACATCTCCTATACTAATTTTTTAAAAAACTGGCCTTTATATTTAAATCATGTGGGAAACACATTTTGAGACATCTTGATTATTTGAGCCATGGTTTATTCTGTAAAAATAGCAAGGAAAAAATAAATAATTATGACCAGCCTTATTGCTGTTTATACCTCAAATATATATATAAATTCATTTTGAAGCAGTCATTGGACCACTTACTTTAAGAAAATTCATCCAAAATTCTCCCTAGCTAAAATTAAATTCAGGGCCTTAGAAATTTTTCATCTGAGATATTATTTTAATTATATTTTTTACTTTTTAACTTGTCTCCTCCATCAATTCTTTCTGATTTTTCCATTCCTGAAACATGCATATCTGCCTGTTCTTAAGCTAAGCACCAGTCTTTCCATTTCATACTCAAAAATCACCTATGCACCGATAGTGGATGAGTGTTACTTCATGGACTCAGAGTGATTGATGCCATAGCCTGCCTAGGTCCCTCTGTCAAGAGTGATTCCATGACTAAACTCTGACACACTGGGAAAGAGCACTGGATTTCTGCTTCTGTCTAGCACAGAGATACAGGGAAGAATGGAGACAGAAATACCTGTAAGGTATTTATCATCCCAATTCTAACAGCTCATTGAATGCTAAGGGTAGAAACAAATGACTTTTCTAGTGTCATTATGAAATGTGATCTAAATTTAGTTTTCCAAACTTATTTGCTATTTTTGCTTCTCATAATTCATTCTTCAGTCAATCTGAAATAGATAGATATAGATGATTAGATAGATAGATAGATAGATAGATCCTATCTATCCTGTGTAGATCATATTCCTTAATCTCCCACTCAGCTGTAAGAGATCGCTCTTTGTACCTCCATTGGTTATTTCTTTTCCTACTTTCAAGTTTGAGTGTTTTTGTTTTTGAATGTATGACCAAAATGTCCACATGTTGGGAGTGAGTGTGTGTGTGTGTGTGTGTGTGTGTGTGTGTAAAGGTAAATTTCTGCATCTGACTTGCCCACCATCATGATTAAAAGTCACTGCCATTTCAGACTTTTTTTTTTTTTTTTTTTTGAGACAGGGTCTTGCTCTGTTGCCCAAGCTGGAGTGCGTGCAGTGGTGGGATCTTGGCTCACCGCAACCTCTGCCTCCCAGGTTCAAGCAATTCTCCTGACTCAGCCTCCCAAGTAGCTGGGATTACAGGTGTGCGCCACCATGCCTGGCTAAATTTTTTTATATTTTTGGTAGATAAAGGGTTTCACCATGTTGGCCAGGCTGGTCTCAAACTCCTGACCTCAAGTGATCTGTCCATCTTGGCCTTCCAAACTGCTGGGATTACAGGTGTGAGCCACCATGCCCAGCCCACAAGTTTGTTTAATTGGACTTTGCTTGGGGCACTTATTAATTATCTCTCGCCTTATTAGGTGGGTAGTTAACTCTAGGTGTAGCCTCTAATTTTTCCTACTTGAATACACTTCTTGAGGTCAAGGGCTTTACCTTACCCATAATTATACCCTATGTAGTACTAAGTGTAATGCCTTATGTATAATGCCTAATAAATAATTGTTTAATTGGATTTTTCTAGGCATTTACAATATAGTCTCCAATGGTGGTCTGGTATTGTAGTTATTTTATTAGAAGTAATTAAAAACAAAGTTAAATAAAGCACTATTTTTTTTTAGAAAAGAAATGGATTCAACGTAAAAGAAATTCCACACTAAAGGCGATTTTAAAAAGGTTTGAACAGTAAAGGCTAAAAAAAATTCCAATTTGCTTTTGTTTGTTGGTTGGTAACTTTATCATTATAGAACAAGAAAAGCTGATTATGGCTTTGGAACTTTAATACACCAGGAGAGATATAAGTCTGAGTGTTGATAATAGAAAATATCCTGTGGTCTGACATGAAAATAATTTAAAATTTTAAGAGAGTGTAATTGCTACCTTTTTAAACTTCTTTTTAAAATTTTGAGTAGTGAAACCTTTTAAGAAAATAAAACCATATGCAGAAGATTAATAAACACCATAGATACAAGCAGAATTTCCCTGGTCAAGACAAAAGCATCCCCCTCTTGACTTCCTCCTTGTGTCCCTTGGCAACACCCTAAGGACCTCTTCTGAACCCTATGGGTCAAACCACTGTTCTTTACAGTGCTTATGATCAGCATACCCCCTAAGTACCCTAAGTAGCATAATGTTTATGGTGTCATGTGGTGGGCTGAATAATCGTCTTCCAAAATTACACCCTAATTCCTGGAACCTGTGAATATTTTTTACTTCACATGGCAAGGGGGACTTTCCAGGTGTGATTAAGCTAAGGATCTCCAGATAAATTATCCTGAATCATCCAAGTGAGAATCCTATTTAGTGGAGTGATCCAGGAAGGAAACGTGATGATGGAACCAGAGGTTGAGGTAATACAGTTGCTGGCTTTGAAGTTTGAAGGGGGCCATGAATAAAGTTGTGACAAAGCTTTTAGAAGCTAGAAAAGGCAGGTGGTCCATTAGAGTGTCTAGAAGAAACACTGCTGTACTGACACCTTGATTTTTAGCCTTGTAAAATTGATTTTAGAGCTTTGATCTCTAGAACTGAAAGGAATGCATTTTATTGTTTTATGCCACTAGATTCATAGCCATTTATTACAGTAGCAGTATAAAATTAATATCAGTAATAAGCTAACAACAGGTGAATGGGCATGTCCTGGATTATGGTTATTTGAACTAATCAACAAGGTTTCCCATATTAGTCACATGCCGATTGTTTATTTCCCTTATAGCATAAAAATAATTTATAATTTCTATGGTTGCACCAGAATTTTAAACTATGAATAACATGAGGCAAATTTTTATAGAATTTAATAATTGTGTGTCCTCTCATTGCTTTCAAAGTGTTTTCACTTTGTTTCATCTTCTACACACACACACACAAGCTCTCAGGGACCATTAACCCATTTTACCTATATCAAAAGTTTAATATTAAACATAGACGGTAACAAATAATTTAATTCAACAAATTTATAATACTTCAGGTTCCTCTATGATGCTATCAGGCAATAATAAAATTTGCAATAGAAAATCATCAATGCAGAGAGCACACTATCTGTTAACTCATCTCAATTTTGAAAAGCTCCAATATATTCAGAAATTCTTCCTTCTTAAAACTTGAACACCTTGAACACAGGCAGGGTGCGGTGGCTCACACCTGTAATCCCAGCACTTTTTCAGAGGCCAAGGCGGGTGGATCACGAGGCCAGGAGATCGAAACCATCTTGGATAACACGGTGAAACCCCGTCTCTACTAAAAATACAAAAAATTAGCTGGGCGTGGTTGCGGGCGCCTGTAGTGCCAAGCTACTCAGGAGGCTGAGGCAGGAGAATGGCGTGAACCCCAGAGGCGGAGCTTGCAGTGAGCCGAGATTGTGCCACTGCACTCCAGCCTGGGCAACAGAGCGAGACTCCGTCACAAAACAAAACAAAAAACGAAACTTGAACACCTCGGTACCAGATTTATCTTTTGCTGACACATAGCAGATAGCTAATGACTTACCTAAATAAGGTCATCTAAGGACAACAAGTCTGCTACCTCTTCCTTTCATTGCCCTCTTATTTCCAGCTTAAATCCTAATGATAACTACGGTTTTTGGGACTTCTCCCCTTTTCATCATTCCAAATAATAATCATAATCATGATCAAAATCTTATCATCATATTAATTGATTCTGCCACCTTTTGGCATCATTATCATCATGTGGGCAGGAGACACCCTGAGAAGAATTGGTTGGTTTCAGAATTTATTTATATTGGATGGTATCTTCCTCTCATTGCTTTCTTTTTGTTCTTTTTCATCTAAATTTTATTTTTCACAGAAATGACAGCAGCAGAATATGATCTGATGAATTCTGGTCTCTTTTTTCACACATCATTTTATAATTGACTCTTGTATCTTCTTTGGTCTTCTTATTAGATTTAAAATAATTTAAAATCATAGCAAGTAAACAAGCAAATGAAAATTTGGGTCAAATGAAACTAAAACAAACAAACAGAAACACCACCAACAATAGCACCATGCCATTTTCTGGTCTGCTTTGCTTTTATTTTATGATAATGAGCCAATTCTTAATTCTAAGAAATGTGATGGTAGCCTTCTGAGCCCCTCATGTTGATTCATCCTTATGAGATGAGAAAAGTAGAGGGTGTTTCTTTCACTTTATAAAGTCATGAGTCTGATAATTGATAGAGATTGGTGTCATTCTTTAAGTCCAAATCTAGTGTTCCTTCTTCCCTGATATTTTTCTTGGTGGCAAACCAAACTATGGTGCCTGAAAATTTCAGCATGGGATTCCATAGGAGGCCATTTTGGGTTAAATAGTTGTATTATACCAAAAGTACATTTCTGATGATAAATTTCAACTGTTATGAATTGCTACTAAATTTAACCAATTTGCTCATTATTCTGACTAATTTAGCTTCCAACTTGGAGAAGTAAAGCATGACTGACTGAGTGCATGCTTCAGTCTGGTAGGGTTTCTTTAGGAAACTTGAAAATGATCAGAGATGTTAATTGCTTTGCTGCTGGCTTTACTCCCTCTTTCAGAGAATCTTGTCTGTAATGTATTCTGCTAATCTCATTCTATGCACAAGCAAGAGCTGCTTCCTTTCCATTTGTTTTTTAAATATGCCAATGTTGATTTAATTTATTTTCCTGTGTTGTTCAGCTTGGGTTTTCTACTTCTTTTCCATGACAAATAGGAACATTAACAAATACAGAGATAGAAATAAAATTCAAGTTTCTTATATTTCTTTATATATTTTTTTCTTTTCTATTAGGAAAACACTACTTTGGTACTTACATGTCTATTACATTCCAACAGATTTTTTGATCAATAAATTATGCAGATGGAATGAGTGTTCTTTTATAATTTAGTTTAAGAGTTCCCTGCTTCTTAAAGGGTAAATGCCTTTTTCCTTCATATTTGAAAGCACTTAAATTGAAAGAAACTATTACTGGTTGTTATTTATATCTAGTCATTCTATTTATATATCATATATTTTTACATACTATTTTTCTGTAGCTTCTACAGACAACATAGAGGCATTTATTCTTATAGGAAACAGGCAAATTGCATAAACCTTCTGGGCTTCAGTTCCTTCATTTTTATATTAATTCAACAGTGATTGATTGTTTAAGCCCCTTTCCTATGTGCTGTTAGAGATTGGGGAATTGAGGGTAAATAATCACAGCCACCATGAGATGCTTACATTCTAATTGGAGATGGGGTGAGGAAGGAGTGAGAGCAGGTAGGTAAAAGAGATATGAGTACATGTAAGCTAAGTTCTAAAGGATGAGTAAGAACTAAGCAAGTGAAAAAGGCATGGAGATAGGAGCAGACAGGGAAGTCCAGGCAAAGCCGATAGTTTAACTGAAGACATGAAGGAAAGCAAGAGTCCTACATCAAGGGCAGCTCAAGTAAGGAGGAATTACCAGATCAAAAAATATAAGGCAGAGAATGGATGGAAATGAGATTACAGTGTGATGGAAATAAGATAACAGAGAGTCAGCACACTTTGCTAAGTAGTTTGTAATTCATATGCAGGTGATATAGGGGAACTGTCGAAACATTTAAAACATGGAAATAATGGGGTTATTTTTGTGATTAACATAGATTACTCTAAAATTTATGCAGTGAATGGATTTGAGAAGTCTAACAACATTGATAATTTCAAATATTCCATTGTCCCCATGAATTCTTTTTGTTCATGAGACAACATGAACTATTTATTGTGATTTAGTAAATATGGTATTGCTTTGCTCTGTAAAATGAGGACAATAATATTTGTATGACATCACCCAAGGAAAAGAGACTGTACCTTACCACTTTAAAGTTCTAATGCAGCATATGCATTTAATGGAGAGTCACTAACTTTCTAACATCTTGAATAAATACTTATCTTTGGTATCTATGACATGTTAGATATTGTGTTAAAGTGCTTACATCTGGGTACTAATTTAATTTGGATAATAACCCAACATAGAGATGTGGTATAATTACAGCTCACTATAATTATATGTGCTATGTGCTGTGTGTGCTATAATACCTTATTTTAGTCTCATAGCAGCCCTGATAAGGAGCTGTGGTTATTCCCCATTATAAAAATGGTAAAACTGGTTCATAGAGCTTTATTTAAAGTTTTATAAGTAGTAACGATGGGGATAAAATTAAAGCTAGCACTGTGTGCCTTTACTGTGTGCCTAGCACTTTGGTCTAGAATGTGCCTTTAAAGCCTATTGATATAGAATGGGTCGATAGCACAGTGTGTGGTACTGTCCTTTTGGAGGAAAATGAGAATTCGAGTCCCATAATTTAACTAGGGATTCACAGCAGTGGCAGAGCCAATCCAACCCACTTCTCTGATTTCAGGTACAGTGTCCTTTCCATTGCACTAGAGCTGTCTTCCTACTTTATCCATAGGCTGCACTCAGAAAACCAATGCTCCTCATGACCAACCTCAGACTTTGTGGCTCTGATTGTCTTCT
Organism: Homo sapiens; assembly: GCF_000001405.40. NCBI lineage: Eukaryota > Metazoa > Chordata > Mammalia > Primates > Hominidae > Homo > Homo sapiens. Next base: position 97,976,649 of record NC_000005.10, read on the forward strand.
GGACTGTGAAACAGTGCTTAGGCCTGAATATGTATGCCACGGGCACACACACACACACACACACATCACATGATCAACAAATGATCACCTGTTTTCTGGGTTGTGTTTCAAAATATCTTGATTGTATTTTGTTGGTATCTATTTTTTAAAAATGGTAGTGGAATTTGATTTACCAGCCTACATAACTAACCAGAGTGCATCACTCCTCAATCATTTATTACACATTTATCTCAAACTACAGGAGAGGTTTTTTTTTTTTTTTAATATTTTAGATCACTCATTTCCAGTCTTATGTTCTTCTACAAAGGATCTACATTTTTTCAAATTTGGGGGAAAGATTGAAGTTACAGTTTATATAGCCCAATTTTTTTTCAGTATGTCAGCTCTATAGATGTTAAAAAGTAAATAACAGCCATTTCAATTCCAATCATGAAAAATATCTCTTCATCTATTTATTTACTCATTATATATACAAATCACCCAATTGTCCGTTTGTCATCAAATCAGTTCTACTGGAATCTTGTTTCTCTCTCTCTCTCTCTCTCAGCTTTCATTGCTGATATTTGAGTTTCAAATTGGAATTATTGCATAGATGATGGGAAGAACAAGCTTTCTTGAGAGAGAAAACGGTATCTAAATCCTAAAATCCTGAGGAGCTTCCGACCTCCAACATAAAATGCTTCCACTTTTTCCTCTTTAAATTTTACGTTTTTTATTTTTAATAGTTTATACCTTCACTTGGTTCAAAAACCAAAATAATATAACAAGGCAAACATTGAGAAGTCTTGTTTCTATTCCTTTCCCCTGTAGGTAGCTATTTTTATTTTTTTGGTATAATTGTAGGCATATTTGAGCAAACAGAAATACACACTTTTCTGCCCTTATCTGTTCTTTCATAAAAGAATGCATAGCATATAAAACTTACTTACTTTTTTTTTCTTTTAGCAACGGTATTTTTTTCCTATTATTCTTGTAACAAGTGTCCATAAACTTAGTGGCTTGAACAACATGAGTTACTTTACACTTCTGGAGGTCAGAAGTCAAAAATCAGTTTTACAAGGCTAAAATCAAGGTTTGCAGAGATGGTTCTTTCCGGAGGCTCCAAGGAAGAATATATTTATTGCCTTTGCAAATTCTAGAGGCTCCTTTGGCACTCCTTGGCCAGGCCAGCAGCCAAACCACTCCAATATTTTTTTCCATCTTCCCATTGTTTTCTCTTATGCCCTCAAAACTCCCTTCAGCTCCTTGTTAACAGAAACAATTTGAGATTACATTTAGGGCCCACCTAGATAATCTAGGATAACCTCCTCATCTCAAGAGCTTGAATTTAATCACATTTACAAAGTCCCTTTTGTCACTTAAGGCAAGACTCAGGTTCTGAAGATTAAGATGTGGATATCTTGGTGGGAGGTGTTATTGTTCATCACGACACAGCAGCATTTCCTAAATATCAATCCATGTCAGTTATTAGGTAGGCAGCTTTTTTACTTTCTTTTTATAGTTTTATAGTATTTCATGTATAGCTTTACCAGGGTTTATTTAACTAATTCCCTAATCATGGATAATTTTTGCTTTTACAGATAATGCTGCAATGAGCAACCTTATGAAAATAACATTTTGGACATGCACAGATATACAATGTATTATATATAAATATAAAACCATTAAATAATGAAGGATATGTTATTCAATATTAACTTTAATATTTATTAAACATTAACAGTAAAATTGTATTAAATGCATATATGTTTATGAATGGACTTTTATAATTAGTGTATGTTACTTGTTAGAATGATATAGTATTCAACATTAATCGTTTTTCTTTTTACAGGTGCGAAGTTTAAGAAATCTTGTTCACACAAATAGGTAAGAAAGCGGTTATAGCAATATCTCTCAATTCTTTAAATTATTTTGTAATCACGTATACAAAGCAAAATAGTGATCTATCACTAAAAACTAATGACTTATCAACTGACAGCTTAATTATGTGCTCCTGTAACTTTTGTTATATGCAAATAGTTGGAAAACACTGAATCACAAAATATTTATCATTTCTTTCCCATTCATCAGAATCACTCACCTTTTCAAAATCAAAAGTAGTATTTTGAAAATCATTGCTACATTTTGGCTGTTCTGGGGTTTTTACCTCCTAGAGTAATGAAAGATGGTAAAATCTAGGAGGCATGAAATAAGATGTAAATTGGGGAAGAAAAAAGAAGAAAAGTTAGGAAAAGAGGCAGAACTCAACTACATGTTCCTTCTTCAGCAGATCAATTTTGTTTCTGTGCACTTAAGAGAGTTGAAGATCTGAAACTCGATTCCTTTAAAACATCACTTTTTGTGTACTCTTGAGGAAGAATGAACCCCCCAGGGTATTCATACCTTACCAGTATAAAGAATGAAGATATTCACTATTTCAGATGATATTCTCAGACACCAAAGGTTATACTTTTACTTCCTTCTTAATAGCATACATAAATTTTGGAAGCACTGCATTACAGTAAAGGGTCTCTGAAATAATCTTCCTTCAAGAGCAAAGAAAGTTTGTCTCGTCTACTTAATTAAATTCTCCAGAATAACTCCTGGTGCTTTCCAAATATATGTAAGTAATAAAACCTTGTGGAATGGGTGAGTGAAAGTTACGGAGAATAAATGTGATGCATAAACACCTAGTTCAAATTTGGTCAGCTTTCTGTTCATCTGCCAGTTTCTTCTAAGGGCGTCAGAACCTTGGTCCTAATAGGCAGTTCAGCCGCCATTTTAGAACTGTAGCAGGGAAGTAAGTGAGACTGTTCCTGCTGGTTTTGATGTCTGGCTGGGGCTCCAAAGCAGAGCACAGTGGGTGTTAAATGCCCACACATTCTAGAAAGGTGCTAGACCATCTAGGCAGAATTTGTTGGAAGGTGGCCCAAATTGGTTCCAAACATCTAACCTATCACCACCTCCAGCCTATACATAAAAGGAGGCTAGTAAATTAATGGGTGAGAACTGACAAATGAAGATTTCCTTAAGAAAAATTTTGGAGTGCTATTTTTTTTTCCTCTCCCATTTCTTGGAGGGGGCAGGGGGCGGAGAATGTGCTCTTCTTCAACTTAAGCCAAATAAATAGGACTCCAAGAGAATCATCCGAAGGGTGGGGAGGTATAAACACTCATGCCTGACTCTCACTGTAAAAGAAATAGCTCAAAGCTGTCTGGTGTTAGCTGAGAAGCAGAACAAAGAGAGAGGGCTCCATAGGGGATGGCTTTTATTTCCAGTGTTTGCTGGAAAAAGATATGAGTTTTTCCTTAGATTAAGAGGTTGTTGAGTAATGTAGGCAAGCTGGAGCCTGGATGGCGTGACTCCAAGATCTGTGTGGGACATTTGCAAGAAGAGAGCAGCTGGAGAGGAGAATGTGGGAGATATTTGAAGAAATTTCAAGAGAGAATATTGATATTTAGGCACCGGCCTTCCAGAGAGCTACAATTTTCACTTTAAAACAGTACCAGTCAAGTAAGAACTTTCTCTCCTTTTACCTCCTCTTCTTCTCACCAACCTCCTTCCACCCTTGAAAATATAGGAATGATGACCTAGAAGCACCAGAGCAAATGTAGGAGTGTTGGAACATGGAGAGTAAAAAGGCCCCCACTTCCCACTTTTTGTTACAGGTTTTCTAGCAATGGCGTCTGAGGTGTGAGAGAAGTTTTGATTGGGTATGAGACTGGAACTATAGTATTAGATTTCACTGGATATTTAATACTTGAAAATGGGACTTTCTTAACAATGAAGGTGGCCAGAAAACATTCAGATCTGATATGATTTTCTGTTGGTGATGGGAGATCTAATAGCAAGGAATTGTGAGAAACTATAGTCATTTCCTGTTGATTGTTCCATGTTTAACTCAAACTGGTTACATAACAATACCCAATATGTTCTTTTTTTAACCCAAGATTTCAAAATGATTTGTTGAGAGCTCATTCATATCCTCTAATGTGAACTTCTTTATAACCAATTTTAATGAACTATGCAGTAGAATCTGATGTGAGTATCAAAAGGAACAGAGAAGTTATACTTCAGTGTAGGAAGAGAGAATGTCAGCCCACTGCCTTAACTCAGTTGGCATTTTGAAGAAAATTGACAGAGCCCACCTCCAGATTTTATTGGGGTGGGGGAAAGAAGAGAAAATGGAAGATATGTTTTAAACCACTTTTGGCAGGAAAAGTCATTTCCCTATTTAGAGTCTGGAATAAAAATGTAGTTCCCATTAAGTAATTTTTACTTACTTCTGTATAACCCAATTAAACACCCCTCATATTCCCACTCTCCTGCAGTAACTCAGATACGACTTAATCCAATGTCATGTGGGCACCGTGCTTCTACGTTTTCGTCTTAACTTTCTAAATTCCCAAATTCTTCATCTCACTAGCTTCAAGTGAATTTTTCAGTGGGAAAGTACTCTGAATAATATGTAATATTTCTTGTGTGTTGCCTTTGTGACAACTTGTTCTAAGCACTTTATGTGTATTACTTATATTACTATAACTTCTATACTATAAGTTATTACTATAACTTCTATTGTTGGTATCATTGTTATTCTCATTTAAAGATGTTTCAGTAGAGGCACAGAAAAGCTGAATAACTTTTATTGCTGGTAAGTGTAGGGCCTGAATTTGAATCCAGGCATCTTGCTCTAGAGCCCTAACATTTTCCAATCTCATTATAAACTGCCTATAAAAGAAACTTGCTTTTCCATTCCAGGTTGACAGGCAGGGTGGCAACACATATAAAAAGCATCTTAGGTTCCACTAGTCAATCTCTTTTTGGAGTAGCTTCCACTGGAATTCTATAGGTGTTGATTCATTTTTACATAACCAATGTCTGTAAACCTGAAGATCAAATTCTTATGGTAGGAAATAAGACAGTTTTAAAGATCAAATTTCCAAGTTCAGGGACCATGAAATGTCAATTGAAAACCAGGAGTAATGAGCTGTAAAGATAAATCAATACATGGAAAGACAGGATGAGTATTTTAAGCAGCTGAAATAACTTGTACTTACACAAAAAGGAAGAAAATATCTGACCACATCAGACTGTATTTTCCTGAGATCGCTGCAAAAATCTCTCTCATTCCACCAGCTCTACTACCATAAGTTTGGAAAATATAATCTGCCACATTGACCTAAATGTTAAAAAATAAGCAATAATTACCAAGTTCCTTACATCTCCCTTCATAGGAAAAACTCGGAGTTTATAAATTTCAGAAGCTTAACACCCATATTGTAAAATTTCCCTTTCATATTATTGATGTTGCCAGCACCCTCTTAATGCCATTTCTTTTGCTGTGCCAATTATTTTTCAATGACAGTGACATAAGAAGTAATGTGCCATCTGCATGGCCTTTTACTGCATTATGTTCTCCTAGGATAGTCTTCTAGGGCCTTTGTGACTCCTGCTTCCTGGGAGCCATTCTAGACTCTTCTCTGAGTGCCATGCTTCTTCCCCAGCATCCTACTTCTCCAGCCCCCCTACCATTCTAGCTGTGTGGGCTACCCCATCCTGCTAACTGGAAGATGGATTTCTATTATCAAACATAATTTATTTCAAGGAAGATAGGGTACCATTTAGAAACCTATCTTTTTGGTTATACTGCAAATCTCAATTTGTTGTCTATTAACTGCCAGGAGTATACTCATACTGCAAATCTCAATTTGTTGTCTATTAACTGCCAGGAGTATACTCATCTCTCTAAAAGGTTATTATTGGGGAAAGGGGTCTTTCCTCTTCAGGTCCACACAGCAGCAGCTCTCTAATGAAGTTTTGAAATATGAGCTGTGAAGGAGCCAGAGGCAGTGATGGTGCTTTACTGGCCAGCAGTTGTTAGTTTCTCAGTGGTCTAAAGGGAAATATCCAAAAACCAACCTGACTTATGGAGAACTGTGAGAAAAATACTCTTAACACTTTAAGGTGGCAATGCCAACATTCAATGGCCTCTCCCTCCCCTTTGAGGAAGCTTCCTGGCGCCAGGGTGACAGAATGAGATGTATGAGGTCTGGTTTAGATGTCTTCCAAGCTGGCCTTTTGTCTGCTATCCCAGCATCACAAAAATAACTTAGGGTGAGAAATTTACAGGCCAGCATGTAAATTCCCTCATTACTTTATTAAATAGTTTGAAAGGAACATGATTAAGAAATTAAATTCAATCGAATGTTACTGTAACTGGTTTTTCATGATAAGCGTTTTTCTTAATGTTAACAGAAGGCTGATCCTTTGTGTGGATTGAATTGTGCCCCCTATAAGACATGTCCAATTGCTAACCCCCAGCACCAGTGAATGTGAGCTTATTTGAAAATAAGGGTTTTGCAGAAATACTCAAGTTAGCATGAGGTCATACTGGATTAGAATGGGCCCTAAATCCAGTGACTGGTGCCCTTATAACACAAGGAGAGAACACAGAAAGACATACACAAAAGGCACATGGAAATTGGAGTGATGCAGCTATAAGCCAAGCAAGGCCAAGGACTATGAGCAACCCCAGAAACTACACAGAGTTAGGGGAAGGATTCTTCTAGAGCTTTCAGAGGAGCATACCCCTGCCAACACCTTGATTTTGGACTTCTTTTAGTCTCTAGAACAGTGAGGGACTATATTTCTGTTGTCATAAGCCATCCAGTTTGTGGCAATTGTTACAGCAGCCCAAAGAAACTAATGCAGCCCTATATATGAAAAATATGGTAATAACCTTACATTTTTTTTCAAGGAGAAATAAATATAGTAGCTTAGAACACAGATTCTGAAACCAAACTTACTGGGTTTAAATCCCATCTCTGCCAGTTACTAGCTATATGAAATTGAGCAACTTAACCTCTCTCTTTCTCAATTCCTTCATCTTTAAGTGGGGATAATAAAAGCGTATAGATTATAGGGTTGTTATGAGTATTTTAAAAGTTAATATTTGTATAGAACTTAGAACAGGACCCTGCACATATTAAATGCTATATAAGTGCATAAGTGCTTTTTCATTTGGTAGGGTCTTTCCAATATATTCCCTCATAGCCACCCCTGAAAAATGTTTTTCCACCACAAAATCTTACCTTTGTTTGCCTATTACCCCTTCGGTAATTTCTCTTAACATTAAACTCTATCAAACTTAGAGTTAACTAATCTTGAAACAAATTTATGACATGTTCCTGCTATTTAATTATTGCAAAAAATAAGCAGAAATGTATTTATTTGTTGAGTGTTTATCAAGCATCTACTGCACACCAATTTTTGTGTTTGAAAAAAATAAATTCATACTCTATAATAATAGAGTCTATAGTCTAGTGGAAATATTGAATGTTGGAGTAATTCACTATATACATTCTCCTTTGATATGAATACTTACTTGAATTACTGGAAGCAGAAACATTAAAATTTATAGAATTCAACATTATTTGAAACTTTGATTGCATTTTGTATTTGCAAACACGTCTTCCATCTTTTCACATCCTACACCTTGCATTTTGCTACTCCTCAGATCCTGTTTCAGGAGGATATGCCACTCTTATTTACAGAGAGGAACTGGAGTCTTGGCTTAGACCAAATGTAAAGGAGTCTCCCCTTATCTGTGGGGTCACTTTTCTGAGTTTTCACTTACCTGTGGTCAACACAATCCGAAAATAGGGAGAACAGTACAACAAGATATTTTGAGAGAGAACACATTTATATAACTTTAATTACAGTACATTGTTATAATTTTCTATTTTCTTCTTTGATATTGTTAATCTCTTACTGTGCTTAATTTATAAATTAAACCTTATCATATGTATGTACATTTAGGGAAAACATGGTGTATCTAGGGTTCGGTACTACTTGCAGTTTCAGGCATCCACTGGAGATCTTAGAAGGTATCCCCTGTGGATAAGGGGGGATTACTATACTATCATTTCTTATCAGTTTGATATTCAATGGTTTCTCTTTGAGATGCTAAAATGTTAAATGAGTTTTTGCATATTAATTAAGTCTAGCCACACAAATCAGAAGAAACTAGGAATGGGACACATGGAAATAGGTGACACCTGCCCCAGCTTTCTATCTGGTATATTCCTTATTTTTAGATATGAAAATATCTTTTTTTGTGTCAGGACCACTGATTAGCAATGACACAAAAAATTAGAGCTTTTAGTGATCACTGAAGTTATTTCAGTATGCTTTGACTAAGGATTTGTGTCCCTCCCCAGTGAATTTGGGGAGGGATGGTCCCTTCTGTCCGTTTGTTTAATACCCCACATTTCTCTGAGAAGTCCTATCATTTTGATCATTTCTAATTTAAACGGAAGGACACCCTTTGTGCATTCTTTTCTCGTTGCTGTTTCCAACAGCAGTGGTTTAAATGGGAAGGCTGAGACTATAGATTCCACCACATCACTTGAAATGCCAACTTGGCAGTAATCATTTTATTCTTTTTAGTTCAGAACATGTATTTTAAAAATGAATGGGTATTGACTAGTTAACAACTAGAGATTTTTTTTCCAGGAAACAATTTCCTAGACTTTAAACCAAAATTTGGAGCTCAAGAAACACTAAAGAAGACAGTACTCTATGTAAAGTAGTTATTAATTGGGGTTTCACTGTAGGTCTATATGCAAATCTTAACTTTTAACCAAAAAATATATAACAATATAAAGTGCAAAAAGTTTAAGCTTTACACAGAAAATGTATGATACAAAATCACTTTTAACTTAAAAGGCAGTTTAAAGTTTATCTGTGAAGAAAGAGAAACATTTTGTACATAAATCCTCCCAGTTTTCATTGACAATGATGGTGTTATTTAAGCATCCCTGTAATTAAATGTCACTTTAAAAATAATGGACGTGTCAGGGTATCTTTTTAAATGGAAAAAAAGTATATTTTTGTAGTATTAACAGAAGTAATACTCAACCAAGATTTCCCAAATTACAGAATAAAATTAATATCTTCTTTTTTTCCCCCAGCAGTGATCTCTTTTCTATGATTCCTTTTCTGTGAACATTCAGGACTATCTGAACGAAATGGGACCCCCATCTCCTGCCACTTCTGGAGAACAAACAACCCACTCAAAACCATTTACCCATCATCACTGTCCAGATCATTGCACAGGGTGGGTTTATATGATATGCCCACTCTGAAAATGTGGCTAAGTATTCCAATCATAGCTGTTGCCAGTGTTTCCCACCATTGCTGTATACTCTTAGTAAATGGTAGTTGTTAAAAATATAAAATAGGCTTGCTTCATGAGAAGAAGAAAGTACTTTCTCTTGTAAAGTTCCTTTAAGCATTGGCATAGTAAGTGTTCCTTTTCTCATTGATACCATAGTTTTTTTACTGTGTTTTGTTTTGCTTTCTTCAGATTTTAAAGGAAAAATAAGGTGATGTTGCTGATTTTCAGAAATATTTTCAGCTTCAGATATCTGTGATAAAAATGAGAAAAAAGAAGTGGATGTTCTGTCAGAAGGTATTGGTGAGATAGGAGACCCAGAATTGGGAGAAGCAGCTTAGATGGAGAGCAACTTAAATGGGAGAAGTGATGAACATGCGTGAGAAAAAAGTGACTCTGCTCCCTTTGTGATCGGGGCGAACATGACTAACTGATCCAGGAATTTGTTTCATTTGGTCACGAATGGGCTTTGCAAATCCTTCCTAATGACATGACAGTGTCACCTACTGGCAAAGCAGGACCCTATGAGGCATCTAAAGGGAGATTTAGCCAGATATGTTGTTTATCAGAAGCCAGGTACTTCCTCCACTTTTCATCCTCCCTACTTTTCCTTTCTACAGAAATGATTTTTTTTCAGGACAGTAATTTAATAAACATACATACTTTGTGCTCAGCACTCTACTAAATGCTTTTATATACATTATTTCATTCTACATTCACCAAAGTGTAAAGAGATAGGTGCATTTCCATTTTCTAGATGAGGCTCAGAGAGGTAAAACAACTTAAACAGACAGAAAGTTGTAGAATTAAGAATGATACATGTTAGACTCCAGAAAGCATGCTCTTTAGCTCTGTAATAGATCATTCTGTCTCTTCAGTTTAAATGCAAGGGACATTAATACCTCTCTAGAATTTTACTCAATTCTATTGTCTTCCTCCTAATTTACTTCTTAACTACCTAATTCTTGAAACGGATTAGAAGCAGATGTAAAGAAGTGTCCTTATTTTCTTCTAGGTATGTCTTTGCATTATTGAAGTGTATCTCATTCTTTAGATTGCCTAGTCTTAAAGTCCAGGTGGCTAAGTTTATTCAAGCAATTAATTGGTTGATTGAGAGGTAAAATACTATAAAACTGATTGATTGACTAGCATGACAAGACTCCGTATAAAAGTGGATGTATTTGTTCATCCATTACCTATTTCTTAACATTTTCTAGAAAATTAAGTAGCTACAATATACAAAAATAGAATATAGCATAAATATAAATTAAAAGATGTAATAATGAATCTACTTTTACCAGGTGTAGTCCCAGCTACTTGGAAGGCTGAGGCAAGAGGATCACTTGAGACGTTCAAGGCTGTAGTGCACCATGATTGCCCCTTGTGAATAGCCACTGAACTCCAGCCTGAGCAACAAAGTGAGACCTCATCTGTAAACAAACAAACAAAACTGCTCCTGAATTTCAATGTCAATTTATTGTAGAAATCTTAAAAACTTAATCCTCCTAAAATAATGCTGTTTTTAGGGGCAACACATAATTGTGTACAATTTCATGTTTCTTTTGAAGTGATAATTAAAAATAATTGAAACAGTTATTAAAGAATAAAGACATTGTGACAAAGAAATGACCGGGAACCACATAAAGCAAGATATTTTGTACTTTCAAATAATGCTGATTTTTAGGGCTAACAAGTTTCAGTAGTAGCTTAATAAATATACATTAAGAAATGCCCTTTCTGAATTCCATTTTATGATGTTCAAGTACAAAAAATATTCATCCATTGCGACTTTGAACTGTGAAATGGTCAATGAAGAGGTGAGCGGCACTTAACTTGAAGCTAATGTCTCATCGAATTGTTCGAACTTCACTCCTTGGTCATAAGGTTTTCCAGATCCAGAGCAAGGTAGCCATATGGCATTGATATTCGAAATACAAAGCCAAGTATCGGTTTTAAAAACAGTATTATTGATTTTTTTCTTCTTTTCCAATTTTCTCTTTTTGAAATTGTGCTGCTACAAATTTGAATTTTAAAATGTCTTATTTTTCAAATTTGTATTGTTTCATCTATTGAATGGTTTTTACTTTAAGGAAGTTCAGAAAGTTTTTATGTTCTCAGCCATTCTTTTTTATAGAAAATATCTTAAAAACTGAAAAGCCTCTGAAAGGCTCAGGTGAACGAAAATAGAAAAAAAAGTATCTATCTCACTCTTCTTTTTAATTCCTCTTTAATGCTTCCCTTACAAATATATTGGAAAGAAAACTATTTAGGTGGTACAAGGCTTCTCCCTGGTTTCATTTTTCTTGCTCGTATATACAATTAATTATTTGTGGCAGCATTATTTTTACTTTGGAGCCCTGATTTCCCACAATTATTGGTCTGATGGAGCTCAGACCTGTGTTTCAGAGTTAAATACTCTTCCAAGAATTTCCACATTATAAAACTCCCCAACCAGCACTAAACTGTACACATAAAAATTGTAAAAATGGTAAATTATATATGCATATTGTACCTTACAATTTTTTTTATAAAAAATAAAGATTTTTTTAAAAAAAACAAACAAATACCTCCTGCCCCACAAAAAAAATTTCTCACCCCATCCAAGTACCAGTCACTAGACTCTAACAAACAGTTCGGAATTCAACTGGTGTCCAAAAGGTTAACAACATTACCAAGGTGAAGGAACCAAATCGGTATCATACACTGGAGCCATGGGGAAGCTTTTGGAACTAGGATTTCTGAGAACTTTTTACCATATACAGCAGGGAAATCTTTGTAAAAAGGAGGAAATT